>NT_167244.2:2214564-2219086 GCF_000001405.40 Homo sapiens | reverse complement strand
GGCCAGGTTTACAATATTGTTTGGAGCTCAGCTGAGAGGCTTAGTCTGGAGATGATATAAACTGGAGAGTCGTCAGCGTATAGGTGGTGTTTAAAGTACAGCTGGAAGTGAGGAGAGCCAACCTCCTCTGGGTGCTGCCCCTGCCAGTCTCACCTCCTGACCCCAGCGGTCCTTCCAGCCCATCCAGCGGCGACCATCCCGGGAGTAACGCAGCCGGTAGCTCCGGGAGAACTCCTTGCCCAGGCCCCCGGCATGCCGTCCCTGGGTGCCCACCAGAGCCACCAGGTGGAGTCGTTGTAGATCCACCTGCAAGTACTCCTCCTCCTTGGGAAACACCGACCCTGCGGGGCACCAGGCCCCATCCCCGTCACTGCTCTCCAACCTGAGGGTGAAGAGGGGCACAGAGAACATCTGGCCCCAGGTCTGCCTCCATCTCCAGTATTTAAACCCCACTTCATTTGCCCCCTCAGCCTGCAGGGGTTTCACTGGCATGGGCAGAGGGGTTGGAGGGGAAGTAGAGGTCCCAGGAGCTCCTCTCGGGGCAGCTACAAGTGTGCCAGGTGTGCCAAGTACCTGCTGTGGCGGGCGGCAGTGGAATCTGACCAGGAGCTGGAAGCAGAGATGTCACTGTCTGGGATGGTCCGGTCCTGCATGCCCAGGGCATAGCGGCACTTGGCTGAGTAAAAAGCAGGCATGTAACAGGTCAAGGCCCCCAACTCTCTACCTCCCAAGCCCTGGCCCTCAGGGACCCATGATTCAGTCTCCTCACCAGGATCAAAATGTCCCTTCATGTCAGCATCTCCACTTGCCACCAAGAGCAGCAGCAGTAAAGATGACAGGGCCTCTGGTCCCATAGCTCCTGATCCCTCGGGCCTAAGGGGGTGGGGGCAGCATCTCTGCAGGGGATAAAATGGGTGGTGCGTAAGTTAATCAGGGGACTGAGTCATAGCTGACAGCAACAGACAGAATGGGCCGCTTTGGGGATAATAACAGTAAAACAACAACAACAGTCATTGTTTAACAGCATCAGCTATATTTTTAGAATGCTTCCCCTGTGCCAGACACTGGCCTAAACCCTTAAACAGAATCCATAATTTTATCTTCACAGTCACTTCATAAGGTAGATACTATTACTATCCATATTTAACACATGAAGAAACTAGGGCAGAGATCAGTTAAATAACTTCCTAAAGCCCCATTTCTCCAATCAGGAATGGGCAAAATATCCCCATAAACAACGGCTTAGAACAAACAACAAGTGTGCAAAAAATGTTTATAACACATACAACAGGAAAAGGTTTAATAACTACAATAAACTAAGGCCCCTTAGGAACTGACAAGAAAAAATATATAAGTAACCCAATAAAGAAACAGCCAAAGAATGTGAATAGTCATTTCACAGAAAAGCAAAGCCAAATTGCCAACAAACATTTTTTTTAATGGTCAAATTCACTAGCCTCAGGGAAATACCAAGCAGACTGACAAGATATTTTTTTAAGGCTGTAACATATAAAAGTGGTAGAAAGTGATGAAAAGGGAGGCACCATGCTCAATGGCAGAAATGAGTGTTATCTTCTATTTGGAAAGCAATCTAGCAATGTCTATTATAATTAAAAATGCACATCCTCTTCGACCCAGCATTCCCTCGAGAGAGAAGCACCAGGAAGTAAGAACATATGTGCAGGTCTGGGTCTGGTGGCTCATGCCTGTAACCCCAGCACTTTGGGAGGCCGAGATGGGAGGATCACTTGAGGCCAGGAGTTAGAGACCAGCCTGGTGAACATAGTGAGACCCCATCTCTTTAAAAAAAGTGAAAAATAAAAATAAAAAAGAAGATTTCAAAGATGTTTATTATGGTACCTTTTGTAAGACATAAATCTGTAAGATATGTGAATGCCCACAGGGGACAGGCTGGAATTAAAAAAAATAAGGTTTATTGACTACTATGCAGCTATGAAAAGTAACAAAGAGGCAATATATTCCTAACTTTGTGTGATTTCCATGTATATCTGTTGAATATGAAAAGCAAGCAACAGAAGTATAAAAAATATCCCACCTTTTGAAAATAGAATAAACAAGCACCCATGTTTGTATATATACCTGTGTGTATGTCTAGAAGGAGAGAATATATAATAGAATATAACAATAGAATACAATATAACAAGAGTTAACATGAACGGGGCAAAAGAAAAGCAAATTTAAAAAGACAGGTTGATTGTACTATTTTTCTAAATCTTGTAACATAAATGCATTTATGTAAAATCATAAGATATGTAAAAGAATATGAAAATCATTTTGACTTTTAAAAAATAAATATGTCCCAGGAAAGGTTGGGCAATTCCTTGTTGAGGATATGATAGAATTAAACATCAGATAAGCCTGGACCAGCTCACCCTGCTGCCCTCCCACATAGGAGTCCAGAATTCTAAGAGAAGGGCAGAGGGGACCCCAGCACCTTCTAGTCTTACTGTCCCCTATAGCCCTCTAGGCCCAGGGTGGTCCCTGGACCATCAGCAATACCTGGAAGCATGGAAGAAATCAGAATCTCAGGCTCACCCTTGACCTGCTCAATCAAAATCTGCCTTTTAACACAATTCCCAGGTGACCTGTGCCCATTAAAGTTTGAAAATCCCTACTCTGTTCCTCAGGCCCAGGAAGCTTACCCCACATAAAACTATTCTAAATGGCATCTCCTTACAAACCCAAGTAACTACTCTCCCCTCCCCTGCTGCAGGAAAAGCTATCCTAACCTGTACTGGTCTCAGAGCCCTGTACTGAAGTCTCCAGGCCCTGGAGTCCTGAGGGACTCGACTGCCACCTCTTATCAGGTTCAGGGCATCTTGGGCCCAGTTATCCCTGCTCTGCCTTCCTGAGACCCAGACATCCAGTCCCCCCAGTTCCCACTTCCAGAAGGTGGCTGCCTCTGAGGGACTGAGGAAAGGCTGAGTTGCCTTGGAGACGAGGGCGGGTCTAAAGACAAGGAAGGCAGGTCACCCCAGGAGGTAGGAGGAGTGGGGGATACTCCCCCATCCCTTTGTCCTCCTCCAGCTGCTCCCACAATGCACTAGGGCAGGAATGTAAGAGGCAGCTGAGACCCCAGAGCTCTGAAGCAGCAGCTGAGGGGGACGACTGAGTTGTGGGGGGCACTCAGAGGCTAGAACCAGAAGGCATCACGCCTGGTCCCTTAGGGTCCAGCGCCGGGGAGCAGGCTGCCAGAGTCCCAGGAGACTGGCTTGGAATTCCTGGGTGCCGCTCTCCAACCCCACCTCTATCGGGAACAGCGGGGCTCTTGTTCCCCTAAGTAACCTTCATGCCTATCCCAGATGAGTCATCAGAGCCACACAGAGCCGAGAGGAGCCCGGGGCAGAGATACAAAGGCAGGCAGAGGATACGAGGCAGGCGGAGACAGAGCGAGAGCCACAATGCAAGAGGTAAATAGAGCAGGCTCAGAAACACGGGGCACAGAGCCAAGCAGAGGAACACGGAGAAGCACAGAGACGTCTGGGCTGTCTGTTCTCCAACACCCCCAGTCACCTCATCTCTCTCCACTGGGTCTTCAGTCCATAGTCAGAGACCCAGAGGGCAAGAGAGGACAAGCCCAGAAGACCTTCCCCAATCCCACCCCCTTCCACTCCATTACAACCAAAGACAAACCAGGGGCCAGGCCACCCTGCCTCAAGCCCTTCACGCTCCTCTCCCAACCCCCAAGTCCCACTCAGACAACACCCACACAGCTCTGTACACACACACACGGTGAAACACACAAACTTACTGAACTGGCTGTAAACAGCGAGGCTAAATGTGGCATGCACACACCCACCTCTCAGTGTCCCTGACAACCCTCACAGAGTTTCTGAGACAGAGCAAACACAGAAGCTCATGCATACATCAACCCGTCCACACCTTGGCATTCCTTCAAGTCCAACCCCATCGCTCAGTGAATAGCCACCTTCAGACACCTGTGAACATGAAATGACAGACACCACATGCTCCTGTGACCAAAAGACAGCATGAGACACACACACCCGGGCCCTTGGGCACAGGATCCCCAGAGAACTGGGGCCCAGCCTCTAACACACATGGGTGACCAAGCCAGAGGGACGTCGAGGGGGCAGGGAACAGGTGGGCGCTGGGTGGGAAGAGTGGCAATAAGGACAACAGCCTTTCCCTGCCTTTCCACTCACTCCCCTTTCACCTGTCTCCACCACACCACTCAGTCCTGGACACACCTACAGGCCCTCAGCAACAGCCAGCGAGCTTGGGCGCCTGCCTCTGGCTGCTGGAAGCGCTGGGAAGAAATGTTCAGCCAAGAGCCAGGCATGGGGGGGTGGGACCCTGAAGCTGGCGCTCACCGGCAGTGACATTCTCTCATGCCAGAGCTAATTGACCATCCAGCCGGGAAGAGTGGTGTCACTGGTGGGTTAGAGTGGCAGTCCCTCTTTTTGCTGGACTGTGACCAGACTGACCAACTGGGTGTTGGCTGAGCGGAGGCTTAGCAGTTAGATGCCCGCAGGGACTGGCC
>NT_167244.2:1987766-2060006 GCF_000001405.40 Homo sapiens | reverse complement strand
GGCCAAGAAGGCAGAAGCCTTCCAGCTGTACCAAGAGGCTGCTCAGCTGGACATGCTGCTAGAGAAGCTGCCCCAGGTCTGGAGGTCATGTGGGCACCAAGAAAGGAGGAAATAGAACCAGGGACTAAGGGGTGGGGTGTAGTGAGGGGCTTAGGGAGAAACAGCCTAGGGGGACTCTAAATTAGGGGTGGGAATTATTAGTGACCAAAGTGAGGAAGGATGATCAGTGGAACGAGGACCTTAAAACCCAGAGTAAGTTGTTTTATGAGGAATGTGGTCAGATCATGGGCACTGAGTGGGTGTCTCTCTCCTGCCAGGTGGCAGAGGAGATCAGTGGTCCCTTGACTTCAGCCAATAAGATCACACTGGTGTCCAGCGGCAGTGGGACCATGGGGGCAGCCAAAGTGACTGGGGAAGTACTGGACATTCTAACTCGCCTGCCAGAGAGTGTGGAAAGACTCACAGGCGTGAGCATCTCCCAGGTGAGGTCTCAGGTTGGAGCTGAGGAGAATTGCTAGGTTCCTGTGTTGTGTGACACAGTATGCCTAGCATTTAACCAGCATCCAGGCCTGGGAGTCATTGATGTTTATTAATCACTTTCTGTGTGCCAGACACAGTGCTAAGCTTCTACATAAATGAGTTGTTTTAAATCAAACTACCATTAGGGTATATAGGATTTTACAAAGTCCAGAAACTCAACATCCAGCATGTTCCTACTCATTCTGCTAGTGCAGCTGGAGTGAAATCCAGGTCGACTGTCTCTGCAACCTGTGCTTGTGGTCACCCCACTAGTATAGGGAACTAGTTGCAGCCTATTGACAGTTAATTAATTCTAGGGCATATCACTGCTTTTCTCAGCGCCCCAGTTAATTCACCTGTAGATCATGGTAGAAGTCAGCAAACAGGCTCTGGAACCACTGTTTTGTTGCGAATCCTAGCTACAATGCCTGCTAGCTGTAATCTTGGACAAGTAATCAACCTCTCTATACCTGTTTCCTCATCTTAAAATTGGGTTAATAATTAGAAACTACCCTGTTGAATTGTTGAGGGGCTCGAGCAAATATTTGCAGTGTTTAGAATAGTGCCTGGTATATAGTAAGCATTATGTGTATGTTAAAGAAATGGGGCCAGGTGCAGTGGCTTACGCCTGTAATCCCAGCACTTTGGGAGGCTGAGGCAGGCAGATCACCTGAGGTTAGGAGTTGGAGACCAGCCTGGCCAACATGGTGAAACACCATCTTTACTAAAAATACAAAAAAAAATTAGCCAGGCTTGGTGGTGCATGCCTGTAATCTCAGCTACTCGGGAAGCTGAGGCAGGAGAATTGCTGGAACCCAGGAGCCGAAGGTTGCAGTGAGCTGAGATCACACCACTGCACTCCAGCCTGGGTGACAGAATAAGACTCTATCTCAAAAAAAAAAAAAAATTCCAGGCGCGGTAGCTCATGCCTGTAATCCCAGCACTTTGGGAGGCTGAGGCGGGCGGATCACGAGGTCAGGAGATTGAGACCATCCTGGCCAACACAGTGAAACCCCGTCTCTACTAAAAATACAAAACAGCCGGGCGTGGCGGTGTGTGCCTGTAGTCCCAGCTGCTGGGGAGGCTGAGGCAGGAGAATGGTGTGAACCTGGGAGGCAGAGCTTGCAGTGAGCCGAGATAGCACCACTGCACTCCATCCTAGGCAACAGAGCAAGACTCTGTCTCAAAAAAAAAAAAGAGAAAGAAATGCATATTCGGGCTGGGTGCTGTGGCTCACACTTGTAATCCCAGAACTTTGGGAGGCCAGGGTGGACGATCAGCTGAGGTCAGAAGTTTGAGATCACCCTGGCCAACATGGTGATACCCCATCTCTACCAAAAATACAAAAATTAGCTGGGTATGGTGGCGCATACCTGTAATCCCAGCTACTCGGGAGGCTGAGGCAGGAGAATCACTTGAACTCAGGAGGCGGAGGCTGCAGTAAGCCAAGATCGCACCACTGCATTCTAGCCTGGGTGATAGAGTGAGATTCCGTCTCAAAAAAAAAAAGAAAAAAAAAAGCGTATGTAAATAAAAGCACTGGATCATACCAATGACCTTCAAGCTGGGTTCCTTGGAGCCTCCTGGAGGCCTGCAGTAGAATATTCAGAGCTAAGGAGAGTGTGCAAACAAGGCTCTGCCCCCTCTCCTCTCTTCAGTGATTTATTGTATGTGGGTCCTGATGTCTTTGTTTGGGGAAACAGGTGGTAGGGCACCAGAAAGAACCCTGGCCGTGTGTGTTCTGCCTATAGCCCATTCGTCTAAACTGGGGCCCGGGAGAGTAGGGGCCTCAGCCTCCCGAATGTTCCCAAGTGTCATCTACTGTTGTCTTTTTGCCAGGTGAATCACAAGCCTTTGAGAACAGCCTGAGCCTTCAGCCCTCACAGATGCCCAGCCTCATAGCTGAAGTTGCCTGAATGATCCTCCTGTTGCATGTAACCCACTGGCCTCCCTGAGCATGTCCATTGACAGTGAGGTCCCACCCCTCATCTCTCCTTGCCAAATAGTTTGTGCCTTGTCTTGAAGGGGGTTGCTCCCCTTGCCAACCTCACACTGCTATGATTGCCAACTCCAGCGGTCCCATGTCAGCCTTCTGATGATCCCACTCCACCCCACCTCAACTTATTTAACTTCCTAATTAAATCAGACTGTTTGAGCCTGTTGTCTAGAATATTTTCCTGACCAAGACTGAGGGATGGGCTGGAGGTTTTCAACTTTGCTACCCAAATAAATTGCTGTAAGTAAGTACTAATAAAACAGAAGCAACTGGAAATTAATGCTTGGCCCGGCACAGTGGCTCATGCCTGTAATCCCAGCACTTTGGGAGGCCAAGGCAGGCAGATCATCTGAGGTCAGGAGTTCAAGACCAGCCTGGCCAACATGACGAAACCTTGTCTCTACCAAAAATACAAAAATTAGCCAGGCAGGGTGAAACATGCCAAGTAGTAGTCCCAGCTACTTGGGAGGCTGAGGCAGGAGAATTACTTGAACCTGGGAAGCAGAGGTTGCAGTGAGCCAAGATCGCACCACTGCACTCTAGCCTAGGTGACAGAGTGAGACTGTTTCAAAAAAAAAGAGAAAAAAAATGAATGCTAGACTCAGGTATGGTGACTCTTGCCTATAGTCCTAGCTACTTGGGAGGCTAAGGTGGGAGGATCACTTGAGCTCAGGAGTCTAAGGCTGTAGTGAGCCATGATCACACCACTGCATTCCAGCCTGGGTGACAAAGCAAGATCCTGGCTCTATTAGAAAGAAAATGAATGCTAGAATGTAGCTTCTTCCCTTGCATACAATAGGCTTTCTTGCATACAATAGGCTTTCTAGAATGGGAGAAAAGCAAGTTACTTATATACTGTCAAGAGTTTTAGAGTTAATTTTTCCCCCCAACAGTGTATTATAGTCAGAAAAGCATGCTAAAATAGAAGGAATGTTGGGAATAATACTAGTTCCTAGAATTCCTGAAAACATGGCAAAAGGAATTATTGTTTTCAGGGTAGCTTTGAGACTTGCATTGTGAACTTAAAAGTATGAGGTAGTAGATGGTACAGATTGTTTTAGAATGGGACCATAAGGTAGCAATCCCGCCTAGTTATCCTTTTTTTTTTTTAAAGACAAGGTCTTGGGCTTGGGCCGGGCACGGTGGCTCATGCTTGTAGTCCCAGAACTTTTTGGGAGGCTGAGACGGGTGGATCACTTGAGGTCAGGAGTTTGAGACCAGTCCTGGCCAACGTGGTGAAACCCCATCTCTACTAAAATACAAAAATTAGCCCGGCGTGATGGTGGGTGCCTGTAATCCCAGCTACTTGGGAAGCTGAGGCAGAATTCCTTGAACCCGGGAGGCAGAGGTTGTAGCGAGCCAAGATCGCGCCAATGTGCTCCAACCTGGGCAACATAGCAAGACTCCATCTCAAGAAAAAAGAAAAAAAAAGACAAGGTCTTGCTCTGTCACCCAGGCTGGGGTGCAGGGGTAGGGTCAGGGCTCATTGCAGCCTCTACCTCCCAGGCTCAGGCAATCCTCCCATCCAATCCCCACCCCCCTACCCCCAACAACCACCACCCCCCTCTACCCCAGCAGCTGGGACTACAGGCATGCACCACCATGCCCAGCTTTTTTTTTTGTTAGATGGTTCACTGCTGCCCAGGCTGGTGTGGAACTCCTGGGCTCAAGCCATCCTCCTGCCTCGGCCCCCCAGAGTGCTGGGATTACAAGTGGGAGCCACCATACCAGGGCTTCACTAGTTATCTTGGTGTCATAGGTTGACTAAGCCCACAGGATCACAGGAAATGGCCATGGGTACACATAACCCAAAGGAATCCTGGGCTGGGTGGCCAAGGCCAGTTCAACCATTTATGGTTCAGTACATCTGGGTGGGATGAAAAACTTGCATTTATTTCTGCAAGTTCCCAGAGGATGTGGATGCTGGTCTGGAAACCAGTTACACGTGATTTGTCATTCTTCTCAGCTTCCATTTTCCATCCCTGGATCCTGCATCTAAGCCTATGCCTTCCCCAGTTAAGACTCATTGGTGGGCCTGGTGCACTGGCTCACCTGGCTTATGCCTACAGTCCCAGCTGCTTGGGAGAATGAGATGGATTGTTTGAGCCCAGGACATCAAGGCTGTAGTGAGCTGTCAGAGACTACAGTAAAGACTGACTGGTGCTCAGAGCAGTTTGGGTACCAGAAACAATGATGTGAGGGTCTATAAAGCAGTCAGTGTCCTTACCAGTACCTCCCTGAGATACCAAATCGGCAGACACCCAAGTCCCTCATATAAAATGTAGTACTTGCATATAACCTGTGTACTTCAAATCATCTCTACGTTACTTGTAATACCTAATCTAATGCAAATATTATGTAAATAATTTATACTATTATTGTTTAGGGAATAATGAGAAGTCTATACATGTCCAGTACAACTCTTTTCCCAATATCCAGTTGGTTGAATCCGTAGGACAGGGACTCAATATTAAGTGTCAATTTAAGGAGAGCAGTGCAACTGAACTCAGGCCCCATGCCTCCATCAGCCAGCCGTGTTTCCCTAAATAAGCACACATCTCGCAGCTTTTTTCAATTCCCATTTATTTTTGGCTCTTGGGGCGATGTCATCTTTTCAATATGAAAAAAAGCAGCAAGTTCAACATAAAATAGAAATCTCAAATGTAGGATAGAACAAAACCAAGTGTGTGAGGGGGGAAGCAACAGCAAAAGGAAGAAATGAGATGTTGCAAAAAAGATGGAGGAGGGTTCCCCTCTCCTCTGGGGACTGACTCAAACACTGATGTGGCAGTATACACCACTCCAGAGTCAGGGGTGTTCATTCTTTTTTGGGAGTAAGAAAAGGTGGGGATTAAGAAGACGTTTCTGGAGGCTTAGGGACCAAGGCTGGTCTCTTTCCCCCCTCCCAACCCCCTTGATCCCTTTCTCTGATCAGGGGAAAGGAGCTGAGTGAGGGAGGTAGAGTTGGAAAGGGAAGGATTCCACTTGACAGAGTGGGACAGACTCCTCCAGAGTAGAGCTTGGAGGGAGATTGAAAGTGGAGATAATACTGCTGACACCTCCCTTGAAGCTGAGATGGGAAATGGACATACTTAGAAATTTAGTGACTTTAATAGCCTGGATTTCCCTCTCCAAAACTTTTAGAATGGAAAATCCCATCCCCTTCCTTATATAGTGACTTCTACCCACTACCTTCTACCATTTTCTACTTTGGGCTTAGGATGATGGCCATTATCTACATGTGTTTTCAGCACCTGGTTGGTTCTAAATGGGATCTGGAGACCCAGCTTCTTGGAGATTTTTAAGAGGAAGTATTAACTGGACAAATGGAATGGGCACCAGAAAGAAATACAGGGTCACCCAGAATGGCAGAAACCTAGGTTTCCCAGAGTGGAAAGAGAGAGGAGACATTCAACAAACAAGTATTTATTGAGCGCCTACTATGTGCCAGGCACTGTTCTAGACCCCCCCCAGAAGAAAAAACAAAAAACAAGATAGAGGCAGCAAACACAAATTCTGAGGGAGAGGAAAGGGGCAGTTGAGTAAGACGGCTAAGGGAACTGAGAAGCCTGAGGTGATGGGGGCTCTGCCTTAGGCCTCCTCTTCGGCCTCCTCACCGAAATCCTCCTCCTCTTCTGCGGTGGCATCCTGGTACTGCTGATACTCAGAGACGAGGTCGTTCATGTTGCTCTCAGCCTCGGTGAACTCCATCTCGTCCATGCCCTCGCCTGTGTACCAGTGGAGGAAGGCCTTCCGGCGGAACATGGCAGTGAACTGCTCCGAGATGCGCTTGAAGAGCTCCTGGATGGCTGTGCTATTGCCAATGAAGGTGACTGCCATCTTGAGGCCACGAGGTGGGATGTCACAGACGGCTGTCTTGACATTGTTGGGGATCCATTCCACAAAGTAGCTGCTGTTCTTGTTCTGCACGTTAAGCATCTGCTCATCGACCTCCTTCATGGACATCCGACCACGGAAGACAGCAGCCACGGTGAGGTATCGGCCGTGGCGGGGGTCACAGGCAGCCATCATGTTCTTGGCATCGAAGACCTGCTGGGTGAGTTCCGGCACTGTGAGAGCTCGATACTGCTGGCTTCCACGGCTGGTGAGAGGGGCAAAGCCAGGCATAAAGAAATGGAGACGTGGGAAGGGGACCATGTTGACTGCCAACTTGCGGAGGTCAGCATTGAGCTGGCCAGGGAAACGGAGGCAGGTGGTGACACCACTCATGGTGGCTGAGACAAGGTGGTTCAGATCCCCGTAGGTTGGTGTGGTCAGCTTCAGAGTGCGGAAGCAGATATCATAGAGGGCCTCGTTGTCAATGCAATAGGTCTCATCAGTATTCTCTACCAACTGATGGACGGAGAGGGTGGCATTGTAGGGCTCGACCACGGTGTCAGACACTTTGGGTGAAGGCACCACACTGAAGGTATTCATGATGCGATCAGGGTATTCTTCTCGGATCTTGCTGATAAGGAGAGTGCCCATTCCAGAGCCTGTGCCCCCGCCCAGTGAGTGGGTCAGCTGGAAGCCCTGCAGGCAGTCACAGCTCTCTGCCTCCTTCCGTACCACATCCAGGACAGAATCAACCAGCTCGGCGCCCTCTGTGTAGTGGCCTTTGGCCCAGTTGTTACCTGCCCCAGACTGACCTGGAATGCAGTCAGGAGAAAAGCTCAATTAACAGGGTATGGAAGATACATGATGTTTCCATCTTTCAACTTTTCAAATAATTCCCTCGGATGTATCTTCTTTCTCCTTCACTGTGATATATTCTCCCCCTACTGCCCCATAATTTACCAGCAATAGTAGGCACTACCTCTACCCTCCGTTAGATTTCAGAACACATTTCTGTATTAGCACTCCAATACAACAATCATCTCCTAACTTTTGCTGTGTCCTTGCACCCAAATAAGTTGAACACGATGGTATATCATCTGCTAATATCATCTGTATAACTCACCAAATACAAAGTTGTCTGGTCTAAAGATCTGGCCAAAAGGACCTGAGCGAACAGAGTCCATGGTCCCAGGTTCTAGATCCACCAGGATGGCACGAGGAACATATTTGCCACCTACAGAGAATAAAGTTAAGAGCTGTGAAATCTGGCAGAAGGGAAGGTTTATAGATATACTGGAAATGGGAGACAGCAGGGATCAGAGACTTGTCATTCCAGGTCCCGCCACCAGGTGGCAGCAGACGTCTTTGGCCCCGACGGTGGTTCACGAAAGGGACAAAATGACAGATTCACCCAAAGGGGATAAGGCGTGCCCAGAAATGGAAAGAGATCCCAGATAAGTGGGAGACAGGGAAGGGAACCTGAGCTGCCCGGGCTCCTGCCCTTACCTGTGGCTTCATTGTAGTACACAGAGATGCGGTCCAGCTGCAGGTCGCTGTCCCCGTGGTAGGTGCCGGTGGGGTCGATGCCATGTTCATCACTGATCACCTCCCAGAACTGCCGAGGGGGAGCAACGAGACCACAACAGGTCAAGTCCCAGCCAACTATGTCCCCAACTACCATTTTATTTCATCTTTTTCTTAATTTTTTTTGAGACGGAGTCTCGCTCTGTCACCAGGCTGGAGTGCAGTGGCGCTATCTCGGCTCACTGCAACCTCTGCTTCCCGGGTTCAAGCGATTCTCCTGCCTCAGCCCCCGGAGTAGCTGGGACTATAGGCGCGCACCAACACGCCCAGCTACTTTTTGTATTTTTAGTAGAGACGGGTTTCACCATGTTGGCCAGGATGGTCTAGATCTCTTGACCTCGTGATCCGCCCACCTTGGCCTCCCAAAGTGCTGGGATTACAAGGGTGAGCCACCGCGCCCAGCTTCTTCTAATTTTTAAGACAGGGTCTTCCTGTTGCCCAGCCTGCAGTGCAGTGGTGCAATCACGGATGACTACAGCGTGGAACTCCCAGGCTCAACCGATCCTCCCATCTCAGCCTCTCGAGTAGCTGGGACCACAGACGCGCGCCACCACGCCCAGCTAATTTTTTACTTTTATTTTTTGTAGAAACGTGGCATGGGGGAGGGTCTCGCTTTGTTGCCCAGGATGGTCTCGAACCCCTGACCTGGAGGGATCCCAATTCGCCCACCTCGGCCCCACATCTCCCATTTTAATTCCACAAGCGCTCAGGCCGTTGTTCTAGGGCATGGCATCCCGTGGGCCTGCCACACCCTTCCCCTAGACACTCGCTCCCCCGAGAAAGCCACAGCTTTCCCTGCTCTGGATATGTGCAGCGGGTCCCAAGTGCTCGGTGGGCGGATGGAGGTCGACCACACTTCGATAAGCGCCGCTCTCCTTCCCCCAAGCTGGGCACCGCCCCACCGCGCGGCGCACAAAAGGCTGGGGGTCTGAGGAAAGAGCTGCCGCCGCAGTCGACCACCCCCCCCGCCCTCCACGTGACTGCGGCGCACGCGCAGGTCGAGCCGCCGACAAAAGACTTCGCGCGTGGGCGGGGCCAGGGACAAAAATTCCGCGCGCGAGGGGCGGGGCCCAAGGTAGCGCGCCCCTGCCGGCGGGCAACGCCGCATTGTCCCCGCGCGCCCACGGCGCCCCGGCCCCGCCCCGCAGGGCCCCGCCCTTCTGCTACAACGTAGCAGCCGCACTTCCTCCCGCCCCTCCCCCGCTACACTGTAACCGCGCGCAAAAAAAAAAAATCCCCCTTGGCCTCGGAATTTTTATTCCTTCGCTACATTTCTACCCCTTGATTTAAAGGATTCTTTCTCTCCCATTAAGTCCTGAGGGACTCATTAAAGAAAACCACACACCCCCATTTTCTCGACATATCTGTTCACGCCCTAAAAAAGTCTCTCTTAGGGGCCATGAAAGCAAGTAAAATTAATCCCGTTCTTATTCTCCTTCCACCCAGGAACAAATACAGGACCGGCCCTCTGGGGTCGCGGGCGCGTTGGGGTCCCTGGTCTTTTGTGAAAGGTAGCGCCCAGCGCAGCCCACCCTGGCGCATCGCCCCCCACCCTTGCGCTGGAGCTCTCTGCAGCCGCCCGATGGCCTCACCCCTTCCCGCTCCGGTTTGGCCCTAAGTACCCCGCAGGGGGGTTGGGCGGGATGCACATGGGCAAAACCTCGCCCCGCTTTGTCTGCGACCGTTTCCGCATCTCTCTCCCTGCCCGGTTCTCGGACCGTTAGAAGCCCTTTTAAGTAACATCTTATAAGTCCTCGGTCTTCCCGCCCCCAAACCCGAAGAGCCCTTTTACTAGTTTCTCCAAAATGTGCCTGCCAAGAAAAATGATTCCCAGCTTTCCAAAGGCAAATGCTAGCTACAATTGTTATATATATAAATGTAACAAACTTGAGAGGGGCAAATCTTGATTAAGGATAGCGGGTGCAAATGCCCCACAACCATTTTTTCATAACTTACCTGGATTTTTCCTTGTAAAAAGAAATAAAAGAGGTGTAAAATTCTTACCTTGGCACCGATCTGGTTGCCACACTGACCAGCCTGGATGTGCACGATTTCCCTCATGGTTAAAATTTAATTTTTTTGCTCGCCTCAAGGTATGTATGGGGCAAGAAAATAAGTAATTTTTTTTCTCCGCAGGTCGCAGGCTGGAAGGTTGGAATGCGCCCCAGAGGCTGGAGCAGCGAGGTGCAAACGCGACGGCAGGAAGGTTCTGAGAGGGAGAAAGGAGAGGGGAGGGCGCGGAGGGAAAGCAGGCTGGGCGGGGCGCGCGTGCGCCGGGGCTGGGAGGCGGGAGAATCGGCCCCGCGCGCGGTAGGGAGACAAAGCCTCATCGAGCCTGGCCCTGATTAGTCGATGCCGGTCATGTACCAGGCGTCCATTGGCCTCTGAGCCAGTGGACGAGCGCAGTCCTCTTTGGGAGTTGTAGTCCCCTATTGTTGTCCATGCTGCAAAATGAAGTGACGAATGGGTGGGTACCGGTTTGGTTTTCATGGGGTTTTTGTTTTGTAAATGAAAAACGACCTTGCGCAAGATTCCTTTCCTCTATGCCTGAGGTTTTTGTA
The DNA here is from genome assembly GCF_000001405.40 of Homo sapiens. Taxonomy (NCBI): domain Eukaryota; kingdom Metazoa; phylum Chordata; class Mammalia; order Primates; family Hominidae; genus Homo; species Homo sapiens. The sequence goes on along the minus strand of NT_167244.2, from coordinate 2,049,509 downwards.
CAAAAAGTGAGCAGTTCTTGGGGGTACAGGAATTGAGAAGTCTGGGGTTCCAGAAGTTGGGTGGTGGGGAAGACACGCCCTGAAAGCTCCCAGCTGCAGTACCTCTAGGGGAGAAAGGATTGCTTAGTTCAGCGAAAAATGGGGAGAAGTCTGGCACCGTGCTCTGCCTCCCCTGGCCTTTGGTGACCCAAGGCATGAACTTCAGTAAGCTTCTGCTCCCTCAAATACTTCAAGAAGGGAATCGCCCTCTTGCTATTTCCTTGGAAATTTTCGAGCCATTGTTTTGAAAGAGAAACAAAATTGCAGCAAGGGCTTTTCAGGATAGCGATGTTGTCTGGAGAGTATGTTCAAAGAATAAAATAGTTTAGAGAAACCGACATCGGGGATTTGTGAAACTAGAAGTCTCCTACGTGGGTAGGAGATCTGGACCTTAGGGCAGACTTTGAAGACACCTTGGTCTTCTTGTCAAACAGGGAACTATGGAATGAGATGCCTGATAGATTTTCAGTTTTTTCAGCCTGCCTCTTTAGACATGTTAATGAAGTCAGTGGTTTTTCAATTCGCTGATTTCACTGACCAGGTGGCCGCCACTGCAACTCTGCAAGAGACCCAGTATTGAAAAACGAGAGAGGGGTAATTGATGGGGGAAAAATTGAGTGGGTTCAAGACGGAGTCCATCTGCTTCTTCCCATAGATTTATTATTCACTTATTTGATAGTTACTATGTATCCACCAAATTAGGAGCTATGGTTACAAAATGATTAAGAATTAGCTCCCTGTCCTCCAGGATGTTGCAGTCTGGTGAGAAGCATACAATCAATAAAATGTGGTAACCACTCAGAAATGTAGTATCAAGTCAACGTCATTGTTAATTCACATTCGATCACACAGATCAATGTATTTCTTTTTTTTTTTTTGTATTTTTAGTAGAGACAGGGTTTCACTGTGTTAGCCAGGATGGTCTCGATATCCTCACCTCGTGATTCGCCCGCCTTTGCCTCCCAAAGTGCTGGGATTACAGGCGTGAGCCACCGCGCTGGGCAGATCAATGTATTTCTAAGTTGCCTTCTAAATGAGGGAACATCAACTTGTGTAAGCCCTCTCTACCCACTTAAAATATAATGCTTTACGTTTTAGGGAAATGAACACAGTCATTTTGTGGGAGTAGAAATAACTCAAAATACACAATCAGATAACTTGTTTCAATTTGTCTCTATATTAGCTGTAGGATCCTAGGAAAGTCCTTTAACTTTGCAGGGCTCCAGCTCCTCGTTTGTAAAATCTGCTTATTTGACTGTTGTGCACAGAATTGAGATAACCAACAGAAAGGACTTTATGAATTATGCAAGTGTTATAGTTACCATTTTCTTCATGTCTTATTGTGAGATAAAATAGGCCGGGCGCAGTGGCTTACGCCTGTAATCCCAGCACATTGGGAGGCCCAGGCGGGAGAATCACCTGAGGTCCGGAGTTTGAGACCAGACTGACCAACATGGAGAAACCCCGTCTCTACTAAAAATACAAAATTAGCCGGGCGTGGTAGCGCATGCCTGTAATCCCAGCTACTCGGGAGGCTGAGACAGGAGAATTGCTTGAACCCAGAAGGCGGAGGTTGCGGTGAGTCGAGATCGCGCCATTGCACTCCAGCCTAGGCAACAAGAGCGAAAGTCCGTCTCAAAAAATAAAATATAGATGGCCGCATGCGGTGGTTTACGCCTGTAATCCCACCACTTTGAGAGGCCGAGGCGGGCGGATCACCTGAGGTCAGAAGTTCGAGACCAGCCTGACCAACATGGAGAAACCACGTCTCTACTAAAAATACAAAAATAAGCTGGGCGTGGTGGCGCATGCCTGTAATCCCAGCTACTTGGGAGGTTGAGGCAGGAGAATCGCTTGAACCTGGGAGGCAGAGGTTGCGGTGAGTCGAGATCGCGCCATTGCACTCCAGCCTGGGCAACAAGAGCAAAACTCCATCTCAAAAAATAGATAAATTAGTTAATTAAAAAATAAAAATAAATGATTTTATGATCCTTCCCTCGCCCCTCGAAAGGTGGGGACAGCCTTTAAGACAGAGAGCAAACCAGTTTTCTCTGTTCGACTACAGATCTTTAGGATCTTGGATTTAAGAAAATGACCTCAAAATGTCCGTCAGAGACGTATTCCCAGGAAGAAAGATATTACTTCTACTACAAACCAAATCAAAAGGAAATGAAATTCCAATGCAACAGGAGTGAACTGCCACGCCTACGGGCTGTTCTCCAAACTGCAGCCTCCAGCCACGACTGCAACGCGCAACCCACTTTCATTTCTCATGAGTCAGCGGACACCATGTCTAGGAGGACCGAGGAAAGGCGCTCTGGCCTTACCAGACACGTCGGACGTCTATGACACAGCCCCTCTATCCGTTGCCGGCAGCTGGCGCCAGACTCTCTGGTCGCGGTTTGGAACTGCGCGGGAAGTGGGTGGTGGGCGGGCAAGCGGTAGTGGGTTGTCCCTTGGAGCTGCCCAATCGACGTGCATTATTCTGTTGGCGCACGGCGGCCTTCAATTACCGTCTCATTAACTGATCTCAGCAGCCTGGGAGACACCACCTATTTGAACTCTAAGGGGGCGGGGCTTTGGGTGTGCCTCCGCTCGACTGGCTGCGGTTGTGAAAGACAGCGGCAGAAGCCAATCAGCAAATAAGCTCTTTTTCGGCACACGCAGTCGCTCCACCCGGGTCGCGACCGTTACTGGTGGCGCGCGCGGGGACTTAAAGTAGGTGAGTTCTAGGGGCCTGGCCCACGGCTCCCCGGGAGCCATCTTGGTTCCCCCAGAAGGCGGGAGGGGCGTACCTTGGGTGCGACTGGGCGGAGGTGACTTGGAAGTTCGCTTCTCGGACTGTAATACTCATCCTTACCTGGCGCCCCGCTCCGAGTTTAGGTATGAAGACACAGGGAGACGTCGGGCCACAAGGGAACCCACTGAGGTGGGGACCAAAGATGGTGGCTCTTTGAATTGGAGCCAAGCGTGGTGGGCACCCGCTGAGTTGGCCTGTCATAAAGACGGAGTTGACACTTTATCCATGGGGCATCCTACTTTCCCTACCTGTCAACAGTTTCCCTCTAGAGTGGCATATTTTCAGGTGAATTCCATTTATGCTATTTTCTTTCCATCTCATTTGTTCCTTCATCAGTAGGCTCGGTGATGAGCCTTCCCGAGGGCAGGGTCGATTTCATGTTTGGTTCACAGATGTATACCAAATACTTCAAACAGGTATACCATAACCATTGAATGAATATGATGGACCCTAGGGGAAAGACACGGTTCCCCTAATCCAGTCCTGGAGGTGGGTGAGTGTGAAGGCAGAAATGGAAAGTAATGGTTACAATATAGCGAGAGATCTTAGAGTAAGCACAAATCCATTGACCACTGTGGAACAGGCAGGATACACCAGGAACACGAGAAGGCAGGGAACACGCCAGGAAAGGGTTTGCTGAGAAAGTGACATTTGAGGCCGGGCGCGGTTGCTCACTGCTGTAATCCCAACACTTTGGGTGGCCAAGGTGGGCGGATCACCTGAGGTCAGGAGCTCGAGACCGTGGTGAAACCCCGTCTCTACTAAAAATACAAAAATTAGCCAGGCGTGATGCCGGGCGCCTGTAATCCCAGCTGCTCGGGAGGCTGAGGCAGGAGAATCGCTTGAAGCCTGGAGGCAGAGGTTGCAGTGAGCCAAGATAGCACCACTGCAGTCCAGCCTGGACGACAGAGCGAGATTCCATCTCAAAAAAAAAAAAAAGAAAGAAAGTGACATTTGAACTGAATCTTAAAGGATGGTAGAAGTTGGACCAGAAAACTAGGTGGGAAAAAGCCAAGGAATTGGGCTAAGGCATGAAGATGTGGGAAGACAAGAACAGTGTGTTCGAAGACTGGGGAAAATGTCTGGCTGAACCATAGGCTTTTGCGGGCGAGGGGTAGGCGTTACAAGATGTGAAGTTCAGATCATGGAGGGTCTCGCTAAGGAGTTTAGATTTTATTCTGTGTGCACGAAAAACCATCAAGATTTTAGAGGAGAGACATCTGAGTGATTTGGGGCAAGTCTTAACCTTATATATGCTTATGTATGTTTCAAGGAGATCTGAAAATCTTAACCCAGCTATGTTGCAGTTTCTTTATCTGAAGAAATGGAAGATAGTAATACTACTTTACAAGGTTCTTGTGAAGATTAAATGAGTCAGAGTCGATATAAAGTAATTAGAACAGTGCTTGACACATAGGAAGCTTCTATATATGTCATCTTTTATTATCATTTTTTGCAGTTGCATCTGATCAAACTGAGGTGGTCTGGTAAAAGTATAAAAAGCATGGGCTAAAAAAGAAAGAAAAACAACGGGGCGCAGTGGCTCACGCCTGTAATCCCAGCACTTTGGGAGGCCAAGGTGGGCGGATCACCCAAGGTCAAGAGTTCGAGTCCACCCTGGCCAATATGGCAAAACCCCATCTCTTCTAAAAATACAAAAATTAGCCAGGCATGGTGGCAGGTGCCTGTAATCTCAGCTACTTGGGAGGCTGAGGTGAGAGAATTGCTTGAAACCCGGGAGGCAGAGGTTGCCGTGGGCCCAAGATCTTACCACTGCATGCCAGCCTGGGGAGCAGAACGAGACTCCATCACAAAAAAGAAAAAAATGTTTTAAGTGCTTCAGAAGGTTAACAACAGAAAGATTGGTGGAAAGAGAAGCATCAACGTTCATAATGATCCAGTTTACCCCCTAGTTTTCAGTCTGATAACTCTGATGCTGTTTGTGTGAACCAATAATGAGGATAATTGATAATGTGTATCCTTCCCAGATCATGGAGGACACCCAGGCTATTGACTGGGATGTTGAAGAAGAGGAGGAGACAGAGCAATCCAGTGAATCCTTGAGGTGTAACGTGGAGCCAGTAGGGCGGCTACATATCTTTAGTGGTGCCCATGGACCAGAAAAAGGTCAGAGGGTATTGGATGTTCAAGTATTGATATAGATCTTTTATTTTTGTGGTAAGGTATTTGGAGGGTTGCAAGAAGCTTATGTATGTTTCAATGAGATGTGAATTTTTTTTTTTCATGAATGGAAGAGATGGGGCCGATTGAGTTGATAGTTGCAGACTACTACCCTGGACTCACTGGAAGTGATTTTACTTTGATAAAAGAAAATTAAGAGATTGAAATGAAGCTGGGTGCAGTGACTCACACCTGTAATTCCCGTGCTTTGAGAGGCCAAGGCAGAAGGATCACTTGAGACTAGGAGTTAGAGACCAGCCTGGGTAGCATAGCAAAACCCTGTCTCTACGAAAAATTTAAAAATTAGCCAGGTGTGGTGGTTCATTTCACATCTGCAGTCCCACCTACTTGGGAGGCTGAGCCAGATGATCACTTGAACCCAAGAGTTCAAGATTGCACTGATCTATGATCATGACACTGCATTCTAGCCTGGGTGACAGAATGAGACCCTGTCTCAAAAAAAAAAAAAAAATCAAATAAAATCCAATTGTGTGCTCTGGAGATGGATGGTAGTGATGATTGCACAACAGTGTGAATGCACTTAATGCCACTGAACTATACACTTAAAATTATTAAGGTGATACATTTTGTGTTATGTGTATTTTATAACAGTAAAAAAACATCCATTGTGGATGGATGGGGTATCGCATATACTCTTTCAGTGCCTAGATGTCCTAGGGCCTTTTATTTTTCTAATGCATATGGAGGCCTTGAGTGAGTAGTAGAGTACCTAATAGGCACTTTTTCCTAATGACAGGCCAGGACTCTGATCTTGGAGCTTATCTACCTCTCTAATTCTTAGATTTCCCACTACACCTCGGGAAGAATGTGGTAGGCCGAATGCCTGACTGCTCTGTGGCCCTGCCCTTTCCATCTATCTCCAAACAACATGCAGAGATTGAAATCTTAGCCTGGGACAAGGCACCTATCCTCCGAGACTGTGGGAGCCTTAATGGTACTCAAATCCTGAGACCTCCTAAGGTTTTGAGCCCTGGGGTGAGTCACCGTCTGAGGGACCAGGAATTGATTCTCTTTGCTGACTTGCTCTGCCAGTACCATCGCCTGGATGTCTCTCTGCCCTTTGTCTCCCGGGGCCCTCTGACAGTAGAAGAGACACCCAGAGTACAGGGAGAAACTCAACCCCAGAGGCTTCTGTTGGCTGAGGACTCGGAGGAGGAAGTAGGTAAGTTTGTATATTGGCAGGGAGAATGAGGAGACAGGAATAATGAGTGTACAATTGTCAACTCATTCCTTTCTGTTCTTGACAGATTTTCTTTCTGAAAGGCGTATGGTAAAAAAATCAAGGACCACATCTTCCTCTGTGATAGTTCCAGAGAGGTGAGTGCCAAAGAGTCAGACACCTGAGTCTTCAAAATGAGGAAGAACCAGGGGCTGGAGGATCAATCTCTAAAAGAGATGATTATCATGAGAGTTGGGGCTGGGGAACCATACATATTCATTCACTCAGCTGAATTTTTATGGAGCACATCTGATGTGCCAAGTGGAAAACAAATTGGAAACAGAAGAAGAAATATGCTACCTTGTGTCTCCCCTCAAGGAGCTCACAGTTGAGTTGGGGTATCCCTTCCAGGGAAATAAATTCTATAGACTCTCTTTTCTTCCCTTCACAGTGATGAAGAGGGGCATTCCCCGGTCCTGGGCGGCCTTGGGCCGCCTTTTGCCTTCAATTTGAACAGTGACACAGATGTGGAAGAAGGTCAGCAACCAGCCACAGAGGAGGCCTCCTCAGCTGCCAGAAGAGGTGCCACTGTAGAGGCAAAGCAGTCTGAAGCTGAAGTTGTAACTGAAATCCAGCTTGAAAAGGATCAGCCTTTAGTGAAGGAGAGGGACAATGATACAAAAGTCAAGAGGGGTGCAGGGAATGGGGTGGTTCCAGCTGGGGTGATTCTGGAGAGGAGCCAACCTCCTGGAGAGGACAGTGACACAGATGTGGATGATGACAGCAGGCCTCCTGGAAGGCCAGCTGAGGTCCATTTGGAAAGGGCTCAGCCTTTTGGCTTCATCGACAGCGACACTGATGCGGAAGAAGAGAGGATCCCAGCAACCCCAGTTGTCATTCCTATGAAGAAGAGGAAGATCTTCCATGGAGTAGGTACAAGGGGTCCTGGAGCACCAGGCCTGGCCCATCTGCAGGAGAGCCAGGCTGGTAGTGATACAGATGTGGAAGAAGGCAAGGCCCCACAGGCTGTCCCTCTGGAGAAAAGCCAAGCTTCCATGGTTATCAACAGCGATACAGATGACGAGGAAGAAGTCTCAGCAGCGCTGACTTTGGCACATCTGAAAGAGAGCCAGCCTGCTATATGGAACAGAGATGCAGAAGAGGACATGCCCCAACGTGTGGTCCTTCTGCAGCGAAGCCAAACCACCACTGAGAGAGACAGTGACACAGACGTGGAGGAGGAAGAGCTCCCAGTGGAAAATAGAGAAGCTGTCCTCAAGGATCACACAAAGATTAGAGCCCTTGTTAGAGCACATTCAGAAAAGGACCAACCTCCTTTTGGGGACAGTGATGACAGTGTGGAAGCAGATAAGAGCTCACCTGGGATCCACCTGGAGAGAAGCCAAGCCTCCACCACAGTGGACATCAACACACAAGTGGAGAAGGAAGTCCCGCCAGGGTCAGCCATTATACATATAAAGAAGCATCAGGTGTCTGTGGAGGGGACAAATCAAACAGATGTGAAAGCAGTTGGGGGACCAGCAAAGCTGCTTGTGGTATCTCTAGAGGAAGCCTGGCCTCTGCATGGGGACTGTGAAACAGATGCAGAGGAGGGCACCTCCCTAACAGCCTCAGTAGTTGCAGATGTAAGAAAGAGCCAGCTTCCAGCAGAAGGGGATGCTGGGGCAGAGTGGGCTGCAGCTGTTCTTAAGCAGGAGAGAGCTCATGAGGTGGGGGCCCAGGGTGGGCCACCTGTGGCACAAGTGGAGCAGGACCTCCCTATCTCAAGAGAGAACCTCACAGATCTGGTGGTGGACACAGACACTCTAGGGGAATCCACCCAGCCACAGAGAGAGGGAGCCCAGGTCCCCACAGGAAGGGAGAGAGAACAACATGTGGGTGGGACCAAGGACTCTGAAGACAACTATGGTGGTAAGTGCTGGCCTTCCTTCCTTGACCTCTGAAATCAACCAGGGTTCTAACAGCTGGGGTTGGGGAGAGAAAGGTAGAGATTATTTAAGGAGTTTAGTGTCAGGTATGATTTTTGTTTTAAACTGTCTTATATTCCTCCCCGACCAGATTCTGAAGATCTGGACCTACAAGCTACCCAGTGCTTTCTGGAGAATCAGGGCCTGGAAGGTGAGGACTTCTGTGTTATTTGAATCCTGTACCAGTGGGAGCTGGGAGATTAGACTGGTGGTCCTTGAAGGGTAAAGGCTAGTATGGGTAGGGTAGGAGACCAGGAATGGAACCCTACAGTAGTATGGAGGAGATGAACTTAGGCCATCTTTTCCTGTACAGCAGTCCAGAGCATGGAGGATGAACCTACCCAGGCCTTCATGTTGACTCCACCCCAAGAGCTTGGCCCTTCCCATTGCAGCTTCCAGACAACAGGTATAAGAAACTCTTCCCTCCTCTGTGTCCCCAATTCTGCATTCTCTTTTTTTTCCTCTGTCACTCAGGCTGGATTACAGTGGTGCAGTCTCGGCTCACTGTAACCTCCGCCTCCCAGGCGGTTTCTCTTCCTTCAGCTTCCCAGGTAGCTGGGATTACAGCTGTCCATGACCATGCCTGGCTAATTTTTTGTATGTTTAGTAGAGACAGGGTTTCACCATGTTGGCCAGGCTGGTCACAAACTCCCGACCTCAAGTGATCCGCCTGCCTCGGCCTCCCAAAATGCTGGAATTGCAGGCGTAAGCCACTGCGCCCGGCCTGCGTTCTTTCTTGATTTGCCTTCCTACATGTTTCTTTCATACTCTGATTACAGTGAGCCCTCTGTGTATGCGAGTTTGCGTCCGTGAATTCAACCAGCTGCAGGTTGAAAATATTTAGGGACTGGCCTGGGCAACAGAGAGAGACCTGGTCTCCACAAAAATGAAAAAATTAGCCCAGCATAGTAGTGAGCACCTGTAGTCCCAGTTACATGGGAGGCCAGGATGGGAAGATCAGTTGAGCCCAGTCTGGGCAATAGCCCATCCCTCAACCCCCACCCCCAATGTCTCTTAAAAAAAACACACACACACTATTGCAGCACTGTTCACAATAGGCAGATATGAAATCAAACTAAATGTCCATCAACAGATGAATGGATAAAGAAAATGTAGGCCGGGGTCGGGCACAGTGGCTCACACCTCTAATCCCAACACTTTGGGAGGCCAAGGCAGGCAGATCACCTGAGATCGGGAGCTTGAGACCAGCCTGACCAACATGGAGAAACCCCGTCTCTACTAAAAATACAAAATTAGCCGGGTGTGGTGGTGCATGCCTGTAATCCCAGCTACTCAGGAGACTGAGTCAGGAGAATCCCTTGAACCCAGGAGGCAGAGGTTGCAGTGAGCTGAGATTGTGCCATCGCACTCTGGCCTGGGCAACAAGAGTGAAACTCTGTCTCAAAAAAACGAAAGAAAAGAAAATGTAGGCCGGGCACAGTGCCTCATGCCTGTAATCCCAGCACTTTGGGAAGCCGAAGTGGGTGGATCACATGAGGTCAGGAGTTTGAGACCAGCCTGGCCAACATGGTGAAACCCTGTCTCTACTAAAAATACAAAAATTAGCTGGGCATGGTGGCAGGTGCCTGTAGTCCCAGCTACTCGGGAGACTGAAGCAGGAGACTCATTTGAACCCCGGAGGCAGAGGTTGCAGTGAGCCAAGGTCACACCACTGCACTCCAACATGGGCAACAGAGTGAGACTTCATCTCTAATAATAAAAAAAAAGAAAATGTGTATATAGGCTGGGTGCAGTGGCTCAAAATACAAAATTTAGCTGGGCATGGTGGCATGCACCTGTAGTCTTAGCTACTCGGGAGGCTAAGATGGGAGGATTGCTGCCTAAGACGCAGAGGTTGCAGTGAGCTGAGGTCATGCCACTGCACTCCAAACTGGGTGACAGAGCAAGACTCAATCTAAAAAAAAAAGAAAATGTGTATATATACACAGTGGAACAGTATTCAGCAACAGAAGAGAATGAAATCCTGTCATCTGCAGCAACATGGATGAACCCTGAGGACATTATGTTAAGTGAAATAAGTCAGCACAGAAAGGCAAATATTGTATGCTCACTCATGTGGGAGCTAAAAACATGGATCTCATGGAAGTAGAGAGTAGAATGGTGGTTACCAAAGGCTAGGAAGGGTAGAGGGACAGAATGCATAAAGAGGTTGGTTAATGAATACAAAAATCCAGTCAGATTGAATGAATAAGTTCTAGTGTTCAGTTCCACAGTAGTGTTACTATAGTTAATAATTTATTGTGTATTTCAAAATAGCTAGAAGAGATTTGATATGTTTCCAAGACAAAGAAATGATAAATGTTTGAGATAGTGGATATCCCAATTATCTTGGTTTTATCATTGTACATTGTATGCATGAGTCAAAATAGCACAGGTACCCCATAAATATGTACAATTATTATGTGTCAATGAAGAAAAAAGAAAATGTGGTATATATACACAGTGGAATACTATTCAGCCTTTAAAAAGAAGGAAATTCCAGCCAAGCATGGTGGCTCACACCTGTAATCCCAGCACTTTGGGAGACCAATGTGGGTGGATCACTTGAGTCTAAGAGTTCAAGACCAAACCCCATCTCTACAACAAATACAAAAAATTAGCCGGGCACTTTGGCACATGCCGTAGTCCCAGCTACTTGGGAGGCTGAGGTGGGAGGATCTCCTGAGCCCAGCAGTTGGGAGTTGCAGTGAGCCAACATCATGCCACTGCACTCCAGCCTGGGTGACAGAGTGAAACTGTCTTGAGAGAGAGAGACTATTCAGGGAACTCTCTTATTAGGCTATGATGTTTTTCTTTCTTTCTTTCTTTCTTTCTTTTTTTGAGACAGGGTCTCTGTCACTCAGGCTGGAATGCAGTGGTATGATGAGAGACTATTCAGGGAACTCATATTAGGCTATGATGTTTTTCTTTTTCTCTTGGGTTTTTTTTTTTTTTTTTTTTTGAGACAGAGTCTCTGTCACTCAGGCTGAAGTGCAGTGGTATGATCACAGCTCACTACAGTCTTGACCTTTGGGGTTCAAGTAGTTCTCCTACCTCAGCCTCCCGGGTAGCTGAGACTACAGGACTACAGGTCCCCGTCCCCACACCTAATTTTTTTGTATTTTTTGTAGAGATGGGGTTTTGCCATGTTGTCCAGGCTAGTCTCAAACTCCTGGCCTCAAGCAATCCTCATGTCTTGGCCTCCCAAAGTCCTGGGATTACATGTCTGAGCCACCATGCCCGCCTAAGGCTATGACCTTTTTGAGACAAACGTTAAATGTTATAACTACCACCCTTATTCCCAGCTTACCTTTAATAACCTGTTCAGATTTATTATTCATGAGTTTATCTAAATCCTTTCTCATCATATTTATTATGTCAACCTGTACTTCCCTTTCCCTCTTCCTCTCCCTCTTTTCTCTCCCTCTCCCTCTCTCTCTCTTCCTTCCTCCCCTTCCAGGTACCCTAGATGAACCATGGGAGGTCCTGGCTACACAGCCATTCTGTCTGAGAGAGTCTGAGGACTCTGAGACCCAGCCTTTTGACACGCACCTTGAGGCCTATGGACCTTGCCTGTCTCCACCTAGGGCAATACCAGGAGACCAACATCCAGAGAGCCCAGTTCACACAGAGCCAATGGGGATTCAAGGCAGAGGGAGGCAGACTGTGGATAAAGTCATGGGTATACCAAAAGAAACAGCAGAGAGGGTGGGCCCTGAGAGAGGGCCATTGGAGAGAGAAACTGAGAAACTGCTACCAGAAAGACAGACAGATGTGACAGGAGAGGAAGAATTAACCAAGGGGAAACAGGACAGAGAACAAAAACAGTTGTTAGCTAGAGACACCCAGAGACAAGAATCTGACAAAAATGGGGAAAGTGCAAGTCCTGAAAGAGATAGGGAGAGTTTGAAGGTAGAAATTGAGACATCTGAGGAAATACAAGAGAAACAAGTACAGAAGCAGACCCTTCCAAGCAAAGCATTTGAGAGAGAAGTAGAGAGACCAGTAGCAAACAGAGAGTGCGATCCAGCCGAGTTAGAAGAGAAGGTGCCCAAAGTGATCCTGGAGAGAGATACACAGAGAGGGGAGCCAGAGGGAGGGAGCCAGGACCAGAAAGGGCAGGCCTCCAGCCCAACACCAGAGCCTGGGGTGGGGGCGGGGGACCTTCCGGGACCTACCTCAGCCCCCGTACCTTCTGGGAGCCAGTCAGGTGGAAGGGGATCCCCAGTGAGCCCCAGGAGGCATCAGAAAGGTAAGTGAAGGCAGAGGGGAACCCAAGGTGATACACAGGCCTCGTGATAATCAACCCCTGGGCAACCAGCTGCTTGGAACTCAGCCACCTTTGTGTTTACTTTCTGTCTAGGCCTCCTGAATTGCAAGATGCCACCTGCTGAGAAGGCTTCCAGGATCAGAGCTGCTGAGAAGGTTTCCAGGGTGAGAGCTACTTTTTCTACCTCCTATTCCACAAGTCATCTCTATATCTTCTCCAATGCTCTTTCACCTAGCCTCACTTTAATCTATTCCTTTCTCATTATTCAGTTTTCTTCCATTTTTGTCACGCCTTGATTGGCTTCTATTCCTTTATCCTCGGCACCCGTTGTTTTCCATATCTGTTTCCTAAGTTGTATCTCCTACCTGACTCAAAAGAAAGACCCTTCGTGTTTCTTCTTTCTTTGCCCCAGCCATCCTTTTCCTTACCATCATCCACGTGTGGAGAACACTATAGTAGCATTATGGAGACAGGTCTGTGGGAAAAAGGTAGCTTCCCAGGTAGATCCCAGTCTAATGGAGGAGAGATCATAGACAGAAAGGAAAATCCAGTGAGCATATTTTTTGTTTTTGTTCTTTTTTGAGACAGAGTCTGTCTCTGTCACCCAGGCTGGAGTGTGCAGTGGCGTGATCTCAGCTTACTGTAACCTCCGTCTCTTGGGTTCAAACAATTTTCCTGCCGCAGCCTCCCAAGTAGCTGGGACTACAGGCGCATGTCACCCGGCTAATTTTTGTGTATTTTTTTGTTTTTTTTGAGACAGTCTCACTCTGTCACCCAGGCTGGAGTGCAGTGGCGCGATCTTGGCTCACTGCAACCTCTGCCTCCCGGGTTCAAGCGACTCTCCTCCCTCAGCCTCCCAGGTAGCTGGGACTACTAGGCGCCTGCCAACACACCTAGCTAATTTTTTTTTTTTTTTTTTTTTTTTTAGACAGAGTCTTGCTCTGTCCCCCAGGCTGGAGTGCAGTGGCACCATCTCGGCTCACTGCAAGCTCCGCCTCCCGAGTTCACGCCATTCTCCTGCCTCAGCCTTCCAAGTAGCTGGGACTACAGGCGCCCGCCACCACGCCCGGCTAATTTTTTGTATTTTTTAGTAGAGACGGGGTTTCACCGTGTTAGCCAGGATGGTCTCGGTTTCCTGACCTTGTGATCCACCCGCCTCGGCCTCCCAAAGTGCTGGGATTACAGGCATCAGCCACCATGCCTGGCCTTTTTTTTTGTATTTTTAGTAGAGACGGGGTTTCACTATGTTGGCCAGGCTGGTCTTGAACTCCTGACCTCGTGATCCGCCCGCCTCGGCCTCCCAAAGTGCTGGGATTATAGCCGTGAGCCACCACGCCCGGTGGAAATCTGGTAAGCCTATCTAACCATAAACAAGTATCAAGAACAGTATCCAAGTTCTATCTCTTTTCTCCACCTCCTCCCCCTCACTTGCTTCTGTTTCTCCCTAGGGCGATCAGGAATCTCCAGATGCTTGTCTGCCTCCTACAGTACCTGAAGCCCCAGCCCCACCCCAAAAGCCCCTTAACTCTCAGAGCCAGAAACATCTTGCACCTCCGCCCCTTCTTTCTCCCCTTTTACCTTCTATCAAGCCAACCGTTCGTAAGACCAGGCAAGATGGGAGTCAGGAAGCTCCAGAGGCTCCCTTGTCCTCAGAGCTGGAGCCTTTCCACCCAAAGCCTAAAATTAGAACTCGGAAGTCCTCCAGAATGACACCCTTTCCAGCTACCTCTGCTGCCCCTGAGCCCCACCCTTCCACCTCCACAGCCCAGCCAGTCACTCCCAAGCCCACATCTCAGGCCACTAGGAGCAGGACAAATAGGTCCTCTGTCAAGACCCCTGAACCAGTTGTCCCCACAGCCCCTGAGCTCCAGCCTTCCACCTCCACAGACCAGCCTGTCACCTCTGAGCCCACATCTCAGGTTACTAGGGGAAGAAAAAGTAGATCCTCTGTCAAGACCCCTGAAACAGTTGTGCCCACAGCCCTTGAGCTCCAGCCTTCCACCTCCACCGACCGACCTGTCACCTCTGAACCCACCTCTCAGGCTACTAGGGGAAGAAAAAATAGATCCTCTGTCAAGACCCCTGAACCAGTTGTCCCCACAGCCCCTGAGCTCCAGCCTTCCACCTCCACAGACCAGCCTGTCACTTCTGAGCCCACATATCAGGCTACTAGGGGAAGAAAAAATAGATCCTCTGTCAAGACCCCTGAACCAGTTGTGCCCACAGCCCCTGAGCTCCGGCCTTCCACCTCCACAGACCGACCTGTCACCCCCAAGCCCACATCTCGGACCACTAGGAGCAGGACAAATATGTCCTCTGTCAAGACCCCTGAAACAGTTGTCCCCACAGCCCCTGAGCTCCAGATTTCCACCTCCACAGACCAACCTGTCACCCCTAAGCCCACATCTCGGACCACTAGGAGCAGGACAAATATGTCCTCTGTGAAGAACCCTGAATCAACTGTCCCTATAGCCCCTGAGCTCCCACCTTCCACCTCCACAGAGCAGCCTGTCACCCCTGAGCCCACATCTCGGGCTACTAGGGGAAGAAAAAATAGATCCTCTGGCAAGACCCCTGAAACACTTGTCCCCACAGCCCCTAAGCTCGAGCCTTCCACTTCCACAGACCAACCTGTCACTCCTGAGCCCACATCTCAGGCCACCAGGGGCAGGACAAATAGGTCCTCTGTGAAGACCCCTGAAACAGTTGTCCCCACAGCCCCTGAGCTCCAGCCTTCCACCTCCACAGACCAGCCTGTTACCCCTGAGCCTACGTCTCAGGCTACTAGGGGAAGAACAGATAGATCCTCTGTCAAGACTCCTGAAACAGTTGTCCCCACAGCCCCTGAGCTACAGGCTTCCGCCTCCACAGACCAGCCTGTCACCTCTGAGCCCACATCTCGGACCACTAGGGGAAGAAAAAATCGGTCCTCTGTCAAGACCCCTGAAACAGTTGTGCCCGCAGCCCCTGAGCTCCAGCCTTCCACCTCCACAGACCAACCTGTCACCCCTGAGCCCACATCTCGGGCCACTAGGGGCAGGACAAATAGGTCCTCTGTCAAGACCCCTGAATCAATTGTCCCTATAGCCCCTGAGCTTCAGCCTTCCACCTCCAGAAACCAGCTTGTCACCCCTGAGCCCACATCTCGGGCCACTAGGTGCAGGACAAATAGGTCCTCTGTCAAGACCCCTGAGCCAGTTGTCCCCACAGCCCCTGAGCCCCATCCTACCACCTCCACAGACCAGCCTGTCACCCCCAAGCTCACATCTAGGGCCACTAGGAGAAAGACAAATAGGTCCTCTGTCAAGACTCCCAAACCAGTTGAACCAGCAGCGTCTGATCTTGAGCCTTTTACCCCCACAGACCAGTCCGTCACCCCTGAGGCCATAGCTCAGGGTGGTCAGAGCAAAACACTGAGGTCTTCCACAGTAAGAGCTATGCCGGTTCCTACCACCCCTGAATTCCAATCTCCTGTCACCACAGACCAGCCTATTTCCCCTGAGCCTATTACTCAACCCAGTTGCATCAAGAGGCAGAGAGCCGCTGGGAACCCTGGCTCCCTCGCAGCTCCCATTGACCATAAGCCTTGCTCTGCACCCTTGGAACCTAAATCCCAGGCCTCAAGGAACCAAAGATGGGGAGCAGTGAGAGCAGCTGAATCCCTTACAGCCATTCCTGAGCCTGCCTCTCCCCAGCTTCTTGAGACACCAATTCATGCCTCCCAGATCCAAAAGGTGGAACCAGCAGGTAGATCTAGGTTCACCCCGGAGCTCCAGCCTAAGGCCTCTCAAAGCCGCAAGAGGTCTTTAGCTACCATGGATTCACCACCACATCAAAAACAGCCCCAAAGAGGGGAAGTCTCCCAGAAGACAGTGATTATCAAGGAAGAGGAAGAAGATACTGCAGAGAAGCCAGGGAAGGAAGAGGTGAGGAGAGGGTTGGGACCACAAAGCTGGGAAAAATGACTTCAGGGCTCTGAAACTCCCACCAAGATTTTTCTCAATCTCAGGATGTCGTGACTCCAAAACCAGGCAAGAGAAAGAGAGACCAGGCAGAGGAGGAGCCCAACAGAATACCAAGCCGCAGCCTCCGACGGACCAAACTTAACCAAGAATCAACAGCCCCCAAAGTAAGAGACAAAGGCATGGGACTTTGTGGGAGACAGAGATGAGGGGAGGATGCAAGGAGACCTAGAGGATTGTAGAGATGGGTGCTGATGGCATGGGTTGCCGTAACCACCTCAGGTCAACCCTTCCACAGGTGCTCTTCACAGGAGTGGTGGATGCTCGGGGAGAGCGGGCTGTGCTGGCACTGGGGGGAAGTCTGGCTGGTTCAGCGGCAGAGGCTTCCCACCTGGTCACTGATCGCATCCGCCGGACAGTCAAGTTCCTGTGTGCCCTGGGGCGGGGAATCCCCATTCTGTCCCTGGACTGGCTGCATCAGGTGAGAGGCCAAGGGATGATGACAGACCGATATAGTGGCAAGACTGCTCATATAGTGCCCTAGAAAGTGGTGGAAGGGAAGAGGCGTTACAGGAAGACAGGGGCATTGGTGAGCCAGAAGCCTGCATTGATTTAAAAGACATTTTGTGAGCTCTCTCTAAATGCTAGGCAGCAGAGCTGATTGAGGGGCTGGGCTGAGCTTTGATGCTGACTGCTGCCGTCCTTAGTCCCGCAAGGCTGGTTTCTTCTTACCCCCGGATGAATATGTGGTGACCGACCCTGAGCAAGAGAAGAACTTTGGCTTTAGCCTTCAAGACGCACTGAGCAGGGCTCGGGAGCGAAGGCTGCTAGAGGTGAGAGGCTATCTTTTAACCTGTGCTTCAGCCCTCCCTCCAGTGCTTCCCAATCTACAATACCATCTCCATCATTTCTTTCTCTTAGGGCTATGAGATCTATGTGACCCCTGGAGTCCAGCCACCACCACCTCAGATGGGAGAGATTATTAGCTGCTGTGGAGGCACATACCTACCCAGCATGCCTCGGTCCTATAAGGTATGCTTAGGATGTTCTGGGTCTGGGTGAGGTGGCAGTGGCAGTTAAAGAGGTGGCTGGAATGGCAAAGATTGGAGGGAAAAAAATGGAGGTTCAGAAAGGAATATAAAGTAGTGAGAGGGTGGGGGAAAAGACCTATGGTATAGAAAGGGATAGGAATGAGGGGACAGATCTGCTGATACCCCCATATAACAATCACCGAGATTCAGCAGCAGCTTAATTTAGATTATGCTACATTTGCTCCATCTATCCCTTTTTTCCTTTGATTTTCTCTTTTTTTTTTTTTTTTTTTTTTGAGATGGAGTCTCACTCTCAGGCTGGAGTGCAGTGGCACAATCTCGGCTCACTACAATCTCCGCCTCCTGGGTTCACACCATTCTCCTGCCTCAGCCTCCCGAGTAGCTGGGACTACAGGTGCCCGCCACCACGCCCGGCTAATTCTTTTGTATTTTTAGTAGAGATGGGGTTTCACTGTGTTAGCCAGGATGGTCTTGATCTCCTGAGGTCATGATCTGCCCGCCTCGGCCTCTCAAAGTGCTGGGATTACAGGCGTGAGCCACCGCGCCCGGCTTTTTCCTTTGATTTTCTTTGCTGAAGTATTTCATTTCTTTTTATTTTTCTTTATTCTTTCTTTTTTTCCTTTCTCTTTCTTTGCTGAAATATTTTAAAGCAAACTGCCAATATTATATTATTTCTTCCTACATACTTAAATATATATCTCTAAGAAATACGTACATTTTATTTCATAATCACAATGCCATTATTGATCCTAAGCAAAATTAACAGTAGTTTATTGGTCATTTGCTCACACTCCATTAATAAAATTTCTCCCATTGTCTGAAAAATGTCTCTATACAGTTGTTCAAATCAGGATTCAAATAAGGTCCACATACTGCCACACCTATTATCTTCTTAATTATCTTTACTCTAGAGCATCCCTTAACCCACCCAGCTTTTTTTATGCCATCTATTTCCTGCAGAAGCTGGGTCACTTGTCCTTTAGAATGTTCCTCAGTCTGGAATTTTGGGTTTGCCTCCTTGTCATATAATTTATCTTGTTCCTCTGTACTCCATATTTCCTGGAAATTGCAGATAATTGTAAAAGCTTGAATAAATTCAGGTTCATCTTTCTAGCAAAAGTATTTTTTTTTTTTGAGAGAGTCTCACTCTGTCGCCAGGCTGGAGTACAGTGGAGCAGTCTTGGCTCACTGCAACCTCCATCTCCCGGGTTCAAGCTGTTCTCCTGCCTCAACCTCCCGAGTAGCTGGGACTACAGGCGCACACCACCACGCCCAGCTAATTTTTTTATTTTTACTAAAGACGGGGTTTCACCATGTTGGCCAGGATGGTCTCGATCTCTTGACCTCGTGATCCACCCACCTCGGCCTCCCAAAGTGCTGGGATTATAGGCGTGAGCCACTGTGCCTGGCCTCTAGCAAGAGTATTTCTTTTTTTTTTTTCTTTTTTTTTTTCTTTTGAGATGGAGTCTTGCTCTGTAGCCCAGGCTGGAGTGCAGTGGCGCGATCTCGGCTCACTGCAAGCTCCGCCTCCTGGGTTTTCACGCCATTCTCCTGCCCCAGCCTCCCGAGTAGCTGGGACGACAGGCACCCGTCAGCGCGCCCGGCTAATTTTTTTTTTTTTTTTTTTTTTGTATTTTTAGTAGAGACAGGGTTTCACCGTGGTCTTGATCTCCTGACCTCGTGATCCACCCGCCTCAGCCTCCCAAAGTGCTGTGTAATTACAGGCATGAGCCACTGCGCCCGGCCTAGCAAGAGTATTTCATAGACAGTATGCGGTGTGCTTCACTTGGCTTCATATTAGGAGGTATTATTTTAGTGATGGTAAGACTGGTTAGTGGGTCCTGAACCCATTTCTAGGATTCTTTTTCACCTGATTTTGCCTTTGCTCTGTCTTCCCCAGCCTCAGAGAGTTGTGATCACATGCCCTCAGGACTTCCCTCATTGCTCCATTCCACTACGGGTTGGGCTGCCCCTCCTCTCGCCTGAGTTCCTGCTGACTGGAGTGCTGAAGCAGGAAGCCAAGCCAGAGGCCTTTGTCCTCTCCCCTTTGGAGATGTCATCCACCTGAGAACTCCACTACCCTTTTCCCTCCCAGACCACGAATTAGAAGATATGTGGAAGAAAGAACTCAGGGCGTTAGAAAGGATTGGGGTATATTGATACAACTTGTCCTGGAACATGGGTGGGACCAGAAATCTTTATGAATAAATGAAAAGATAAGGGATTTGGAAGCCACAGGTTGTTTTTTGTTTGTTTGTTTGTTTTTTTAATGGCCATTTTATTTTATTTGTATTTATAGTTTTTTATTTGTATAGATTTAGGGGATACAAGATTTCTTACATGCATGTATTAAATGGCCATTTTAAAATTAGCTAGTTTCATGCTCAGATGTCATAAGTGGCAGCTATCTTTAGCCAGACTGTTGCAGTTATTGCTCGATGCCACTCATGGTGTCCTACCTCCTATTTGGAAACCATCTCTATTTTTTTCTTACTGAGATTCTTACTTTGGGGTCAGGAACTTGAAGGGATGCTTGGAGTGAGTAGATTTGAGGGTCCAGTTATGGAGTGCTACTAAAACATTTTCTTCTCTCCTGGCCTCTGGAAGCATCTTTAGCTTTGACTTTGGGCAAGTCTCTGTACTTTTCTGGCCAGCTTTTCCAGGATTTATAAAATTAGAGCTTCGGCTTGACCTCTGTGATAAATAAATATTCACTCTGTGCCTTATGGTGTAGTGTAGTTTTTTAAAATGTCTAGGTCTCAAGACACAAACTTAAAAAAAAAAAAGTCATAGACTTGTATTTAATTCATCATTATCTTCTATTTAGGACAATTTGTATGACATTTCTTAAGATTTTTTTTTTTTTCTTGAGACAGGGTCTCATCTCTGTCACCTAGGCTGGAGTGCAGTGGCACCATCTTGGCTCACTGCAACCTCCACCTCCCAGTTCAAGCAATAGTCCCACCTCAGCCTCCTGAGTAGCTAGGACTGCAGGCACACACCACCATGCCTGGCTAATTTTCTTTTTTTTATTGTTTAGTAGAGACGGGGCTCTACTAAATTTTTGTATTTTTGGTAGAGATGAGGTTTTGTCATGTTGCCCAGGCTGGTCTCTAACTTCTGACCTCAAGTGATCCACCCACCTCAGCCTCCCGAGTAGCTGGGATTACAGGCACATGCCACCACACCCGGCTAATTTTTGTATTTGTAGTAGAGACGGGGTTTCACCATGTTGGCCATGCTGGTCTCGAACTCCTGACCTCAGGTGATCCACCTGTCTTGACTTCCCAAAGTGCTGGGATAACAGGCATGAGCCGCCATGACTGGCCTTTTATCTTTTTGAGTCAAGGTGTCACTCTGTTGCCCAGGCTGAAGTGCAGTGGCTCGATGTCGGCTTACTGCAGCCTTGACCTCCTGGGCTCAAACGATTTTCCTCTCAGCCTCCCAAGTAGCTGGGACCATAGGTGTGTGCAACCATGCCCGATGAATTTTGTATTTTTGGTAGAGACGAGGTTTTGTCATGTTGCCCAAGCTGGTCTCTAACTCGTGACCTCAAGTGAGCCACCCACCTCAGCCTCCAAAAGTGCTGGGATTACAGGCTTGAGCCACCGTGCCCAGCCAGATTTAAATTTTAAAAGTTGGTTGATTACAAGGATGTGGAGAAATTAGAATCCTTATACATTGCTGGTAGGAATGTTAAATGGTTCAGCCTCTGTGGTAAACAGTTTGATGGTTCCTCAAAAAGTTAAACATATGGATGGGCACAGTGGCTCACACATGTAATCCCAGCACTTTGGAGGCCAAGGCTGGCAGATCACTTGAGCTCAGAAGTTCACGGCCAGCCGGGCAACATGACAAAACCTCGTCTCTACCAAAAATACAAAAATTCACTGGGCATGGTGGCACACACCTATGGTCCCAGCTACTTGGGAGGCTAAGAGGAAAATCGTTTGAGCCCAGGAGGTCAAGGCTGCAGTGGGTGGACACGAGCCACTGCACTTCAGCCTGGGCAACAGAGTGAGACCTTGTCTCAAAAAAATAAAAGGCCAGTCACGGCAGCTCATGCCTGTAATCCCAGCACTTTGGGAAGTCAAGACAGGTGGATCACCTGAGGTCAGGAGTTAGAGACCAGCCTGGCCAACATGGTGAAATCCCGTCTCTACTTAAAATACAAAAATTAGCCGGGCGTGGTGGCATGTGCCTGCAATCCCAGCTACTTGGGAGGCTGAGGCAGAAGAATTGCTGGAACCCGGGAAGTGGAGGTTGCAGTGAGCTGAGATCGTGCCACTGCACTCCAGCCTGGGCAACAGAACAAGACTCCATCTAAAAAAAAAAAGGCCAGGCGTGGTGGCTCACCCCTGTAATCCTAGCACTTTGGGAGGCCAAGGTGGGCAGATCACAAGATCAGGAGATTGAGACCATCCTGGCTAACATGGAGAAACCCCGTCTCTACTAAAAATACAAAAAATTAGCTAGGCGTGGTGGCAGGCGCCTGTAGTCCTAGCTACTCGGGAGGCTGAGGCAGGAGAATCGCTTGAACCCGGGAGGTGGAGGTTGCAGTGAGCCAAGACTGCTCCACTGTACTCCAGCCTGGCGACAGAGCGAGACTCCCTCTCAAAAAAAAAACAAAAAAAAAAAAGTAGCCTCTTTTCTGGCTGGAACCCTCATGTAGAGTGTTGTAGATAAGAAGGAGAGGGCCGGGGTGCAGTGGCTCACACCTGTAATCCCAACACTTTGGGAGGCCGAGGTGGGCAGGTCACCTGAGGTCAGGAGTTCAAGACCAGGCTGGCCAACATGACAAAACCCCGTCTCTACTAAAAATTCAAAACAAAATTAGCCGGGCATGGTGGCCAGCCCCTGTGATCCCAGCTACTCAGGAGGCTGAGGCAGGAGAATTGCTTGAATGCAGGAGGGGGAGGTTGCATTGAGTCGAGATCGCACCATTGCACTCCAGCATGGGAGACAGAGCAAGACCCCGTCTTAAAAAAAAAAAGAGAGAGAAAAAGAAGGAGGTTCTTGCTATGCCAGAAACCCTTAAAAAGCGAAGGAATTTCCCAGAGCTGAAGATCAAAGGCCCGAGAAAGAAATTTGCCCAAAAGATGATTCAAAAGGCAAGGAGGAAGCTTATCTATGAAAAAGTGAAGCACTATCACAAGGAATATAGGCAGATGTACAGAACTGAAATTCGAATGGCTAGGATGGCCAGAAAAGCTGGCAACTTCTATGTACCTGCAAAACCCAAATTGCCGTTTGTCATCAGGATCAGAGGTATCAGTGGTGTGAACCCAAAGGTCCGAAAGGTGTTGCAGCTTCTTCGCCTTTGTTAAATCTTCAGTGGAACCTTTGTGAAGCTCAACAAGGCTTCAATGAACATGCTGAGGATTGTAGAACCATATATGGCATGGGGGTACCCAAAGCTGAAGTCAGTAAATGAACTAATCTACCAGCATGGTTATGGCAAAAATCAATAAGAAGCAAATTGCTTTGACAGATGACACTTTGATTGCTTTATCTCTTGGTAAATATGGCATCACCTGCATGGAGGATCTGATTCTTGAGATCTATACTGTTGGAAAATGCTTCAAAGAAGCAAATAACTTCCTGTAGCCCTTCAAATTATCCTCTCCACAAGGTAGAGTAAAGAAAAAGACCACCCATTTTGTAGAAAGTGGACATGCTGGCAACAGGGAGAACCGGATCAACAGACTTATTAGAAGAATGAGCTAAGGTGTCTACTGTGATTGTTTTTCTAATCTAAGCACTTAAGCAGTACCTGCTCTCAAATTGGAGGAAAAAAAAGAAAGTTAAATACGGAATTACCGAACAGTCCAGCAATTCTGCTCCTAGGTGTACACCCAAAAGAATTTAAATCAGGTGTCCAGGCTGGGTGGGGTGGCTTATGCCTATAATCCCAGCAGTTTGGGAGGCCAAAGTGGGAGGATTGCATGAGCCCAGGACTTCACGGGCAACCAGTCTGGGCAACATGGCAAAACCCTGTCACTACAAAAAATACAAAAATGGGCTAGGTGCGGTGGCTCACGCCTATAATCCTAGCACTTTGGGAGGCAAGGTGGGTAGATCACCTGAGGTCAGGAGTTCAAGACGAGCCTGGCCAACATGGCAAAACCCCATCTCTACTAAAAAATACAAAAATTAGCCGGGTGTGGTGGCTCATGCCTGTAATCCCAGCATTTTGGGAGGCCGAAGGTGGTTGGATCACCTGAGGTCAGGAGTTCGATACCAGCCTGACCAACATGGAGAAACCCGTCTCTACTAAAAAATACAAAATTAGCTGGGCGTGGTGGTGCATGCCGGTAATCCCAGCTACTCCGGAGGCTGAGGCAGGAGAATCACTTGAACCTGGGAGGTGGAGATTGTGGTGAGCCAAGATCATGCCGTTGCAACAAGAGCAAAACTCCGTCTAAAAAAAAAAAAAAATTAACTGGGCCTGGTGGCTCACGCCTGTAATCCCAACACTTTGGGAGGCTGAGGCGGGTGGATCATGAGGTCAGGAGATCAAGACCATCCTGTCCAACATGGTGAAACCCCCTCTCTACTAAAAATACAAAAATTAGCTGGGCGTGGTGGCGTGCGCCTGTAGTCCCAGCTACTCGTGAGGCTGAGGCAGAAGAATCACTTGAACCAGAGAGTCAGAGTTTGCAGTGAGCCAAGATCATGCCACTGCACTCGAGCCTGGCTATAGAGGGAGACTCTGTCTCAAAAAATAATAATAATAATAATAAAAAAATTAGCTGGGCATGGTGGCATGTGGCTGTAATCCCAGCTACTGGGGAGGCTGAGGCTGCAGAATCACGTGAACCCGGGAAGCAGAGGTTGCAGTGAGCTGAGATCATGCCACTGCACTCCAGCCTGGGTGACAGAGAAAGACTCTCTCTCAAAAAAAAAAAAAAAATTTAGCCAGGTGTGGTGGCACATGCCTGTAATCCCAGCTACTTGGAATGCTGAGGTGGGAGGAGGTCAAGGCTGCAATGAGCCATGATTGTGCAACTACATTCCAGCCTGGGTAACAGAGCACGACTCTGTCTCCAAAAAAAAAAAAAAAAAAGGAAAAGAAAACAGTTATTCAAACAAATTCTTGTACGTGAGTGTTCATATCAGCACTTTTTACAATAGCCAAAAAGGTGGAAACAACACAAATATTCATCAGCAAATGAGTGGATAAACAATTGTGATATATCCATATAATCAAATATTATTCAACCATAGAAAAGGATGAAATACTGATATATGCTACAATATTTTGAGGATGAATATCAAAATATTTTGCTAAGTGAAGGAAAGCCAGAAACAGAACACATATTATGTGATTACACATGTAAGGAATATCCAGAATAGGTAAACCCATAGAGAACAAGAGCAGATTTGTGGTTGCCAGTGGCTGTGGGGTGGGGGAGATGAGAAAATGGGGAGTAACTTCATGGGTATGGAGTTTTATTTGGGGGTGATGAAAATGTTTTGAAGGCCCAGCGTGGTGGCTCATGCCTGTAATCCCAGCACTTTGGGAGGCTGGGGCAGGTGGATCACTTGAGGTCAGGAGTTCGAGACTAGCTGGACCAACATGGTGAAACCCTGTCACTACTAAAAATACAAAATTAGCCAGGCGTGGTGGCACATGCCTGTAATCCCAGCTACTTGGGAGGCTGAGCAGGAGAATTGCTTGAACCTGGGTGGCAGAGGTTGCAGTGAGCGGAGATCAGCCATTGCACTCCAGCATGGGCAATAAGAGCAAAGCTCCATCTCAAAAAAAAAATGTTTTGAAATTAGATAGAGGTGGTGGTTGTACCTATTACTAATATACTAATGTACTAAATACCATTATATTATTCTCTTTAAAGTGGTTAGGCTAGGCCGGGTGTGGTGGCTCACGCCTGTAATCCCAGCACTGTGGGAGGCCAAGGTGGGTGGATCACCTGAGGTCAGGAGTTTGATTGAGACTAGCCTGGCCAACATGGTGAAACCCTATCTCTATTAAAAATACAAAAATTGGCCAGATGTGGTGGTGGGCGCCTGTAATCCCAGCTACTTGGGAGGCTGAGGCAGGAGAATCACATGAACCCAAGAGGCGGAGGTTGCAGTGAGCCAAGATCGCGCCATTGCACTCCAGCCTGGGCAATAAGAGCGAAACTCTGTCTCAAAAATAAATAAATAAATAAATACAATAAAGTGGTTAGGCAAGGCATGGTGGCACCCTGGGAGGCTAAGGCAGCAGGATCACTTGAGCCAAGGAGTTTGAGACCAACCTGGGTATCATAGTGAGACCCCATCACTACAAAAAATAAAAAGTTAGCTGAATGTGGTGGCGCATGCCTGTAGTCCCAACTACTCAGGAGGCTGAGGCAAGAGGACCATTTGCCCAGAAGTTCGAGGTTGCAGTGAGCTGTGATCATACCACTGCACTCCAGCCTGGACCGCAACTCAAAAAAAAAAAAGGTTAATTTTATGTTGCATGAATTTCAATTTTTAAAAAATAGTTGATTACTTATGTACACTTTTCTGCATGTAAGTAATACTTAAGTTTGGAAAACTTTGGTGTAGTAGAAATAGCATGAGATTTGCCAAGCATTTTGCTGGCTATTAAACATATCTAATCTCATAATATACATTAAGCACAGCCATTGTGGGGGTGGCAGACAGTATGACCCAGATAAATATTAGTCCCCTTGCACAACTCAAAGCTTTCATACTCTAAAATTGTCCATGTCCCGGAGGCCCTGATTTCTTTCTTTCCATTTTTTTTTTTTTTTTTTTGAGACAGAGTTTCACTCTTGTTGCCCAGGCTGGGTTCAATGGCGTGATCTCGGCTCACTGCAGCCTCCGCCTCTCGGGTTCAAGTGATTCTCCTGCCTCAGCTTTCTGAGTAGCTGGGATTACAGGCATGCACCACCACGCCCAGCTAATTTTGTATTTTTGGTAGAGACAGGGTTTCTCCATGTTGGTCAGGCTGGTCTCGAACTCCCGACCTCAGGTGATCCACCCACCTTGGCCTCGCAAAGTGCTGGGATTACAGGCGTGAGCCACTGCACCCGGCTCCTTTTTTTGTTGTTGTTGTTGTTGAGATGGAGTCTTGTTCTGTTGCCCAGGCTGGAGTGCAGTGGCGCGATCTCGGCTTACTGCAACCTCCGCCTCCCAGGTTCAAGCAATTCTCCTGCCTCAGCCTCCCAAGTAGTTGGGACTACAGGTGTGTGCCACCACACCCGGCTAATTTTTGTATTTTTAGTAGAGACGGGGTTTCGCCATGTTGGTCAGGCTGGTCTCTAACCCCTGACCTCGTGATCCACCCACCTAGGCCTCCCATAGTGCTGGGATAACAGGCATGAGCCACCGCGCCCAGCTCCTTTTTTTTTTTTTTGAGACGGAGTCTCACTCTGTCACCCAGGCTGGAGTCCAGTGGCGAGATCTCAGCTTATCGCAACCTCCACCTCCCGGGTTCAAGCGATTCTCCTGCCTCAGCCTCCCGAGAAGCTGGGATTACAGGCTCCTGCCACCACACCTGGCTAATTTTTGTCTTTTAAGTGGAGACGAGGTTTCACCATGTTGGCCAGGCTGGTCTCAAACTCCTGACCTCAGATGATCCAACTGCCTCGGCCTCCCAAGTGCTGGGATTACAGCTGTGAGCCACTGCGCCCAGCCAGAGACCTTGATTTCTTACCATACCTGCTGTCTGTAGAGCACCATGTAGCACTCAGCTACACTCCCTCTTCATGAGTGGTACTATTTAAATGCCTCAGGTTAAACATCTAGAGATTAGGGATCTTTTCTTACACTTCCTTGTATTTTATTTATTTATTTTTTTGTTTGAGACAGAATCTTGCTCCATCACCCAGTGGATTCTCCTGCCTCAGCCTCCCAAGTAGCTGGGATTACAGGCGCATACCACCACACCCAGCTAATTTTTAAAATTTTTTAGTAGAAATGGGGTTTCACCACGTTGGCCATTCTGGTCTCCAGCTTCTGGTCTAAAGTGATCCACCCACCTCAGCCTCCCGAATTGCTGGGATTACAGGCGTGAGCCACCGAGTCTGGCCTCTTACACTTCCAATGAACCCCATAGCTTGTAGCACATTGCTTTGTGTGGTAAGTGTCTCTATTCATGGTCCTAGCAGGAAATGAATAGCACAGTGAAATTAGGATAATTTGGGGGAGAGTTTAATAAAGTGATAATTACAAAGAAGTAGGCAGGGTGTAGGGAAATCAGAAAGAATAGTGCAGTGCCTTAGTACCCACAGCTCTGTTGTGATCACCTCCAAGCTCAAAAAGATGAGGACAGAGCAGTCGTGTAGAGAGGACTTTCTTTTTTTTTTTTTCTTTTCTTTTTTTTTTTTTTTTTTTTTGAGATGGAGTCTTGCTCTGTCGCCCAGGCTGGAGTGCAGTGGCGCGATCTCGGCTCACTGCAAGCTCTGCCTCCCGGGTTCACGCCATTCTTCTGCCTCAGCCTCCTGAGCAGCTGTGACTACAAGCGCCCGCCACCGCGCCCGGCTAATTTTTTTTGTATTTTTAGTAGAGACGGGGTTTCACCGTGGTCTCGATCTCCTGACCTCGTGATCCACCCGCCTCGGCCTCCCAAACTGCTGGGATTACAGGCGTGAGCCACCGCGCCCGGCGAGAGGACTTTCTCAATAAAAACTGTGACTTTCATTGATACCGTCCATTTGGGACAACTTACTGAAGCAGAAAGCAGGGTGGAGACTGAATTCAAGGGAAAACATAAGATGTCTGGTACAGCATACAACAGCATTGATTCAGAGGAGGGTGGGAGTACTGAGCCCAGGAGACGGAGAAGGAATGTAAAGCCTGCGAGAGGCTGCTCAGCAATTATCTGGTCCCTTAGCCTACAGGATTAGCAGCTTCCTAACTCAGGCAATTATCTCTCTGGACCTGTTTCTTCTATCTATAAGTTGATGGAATTAGTCTAATGATATCTAAGGTCCCTACTATGTGTACGTCTACTGTGACAAGGTCCTTAGCTGCATGATCTTTAATTCTGACAAAGGTTACTATCACAAATATTTTAACATGTTTATTCTCGTGGTTACTAATCAACAATCTCTGGCACTATTACAACAAACCTTTCAGTATTTACAGAGAAGTTATTTGCCATTCTTAGCAACTGGCCAGTCAACAACTCAACTTTATAGTAAGTTACAGAATTTATTCTGTATATTGTATTCTGTACAATGTATTCCATACATTAATTTATTTTGTGGTAAAACAGTAACTTTTCATTTTAGATGGGAAAACTAGACGAGCTGAGATTCAACCCACGTGAGCGGCTGCAGAGCCGCTACCCTTAACAGCTCTCTCTCGGGATTCTAACATTCCCTTCTGTGACGGAGAGACAGCAGGCCGGGACACGCATCCCAGGACGGATCCACAGCTGGATGGGGAAGGCTGCGCCAGGCGGGCCGGAAGCCTGGCGGTGGCGTGCAGGAGCCCCGCCCTCCTGGGCTGGATTCAGCCGGGGGCGGGGCCGCGGGCGGGGCCTGTGGCAGCGGGAATCCCGACCCCGCCCCTTTCCCCACCCCTCCATTTCTCGCCATGGCCCCTGCACTGCTCCTGATCCCTGCTGCCCTCGCCTCTTTCATCCTGGCCTTTGGCACCGGAGTGGAGTTCGTGCGCTTTACCTCCCTTCGGCCACTTCTTGGAGGGATCCCGGAGTCTGGTGGTCCGGGTGAGCGGGAGGGATCGAGGATGAACTGGGAGGAGGAAGGTGGAGCCGTAGGAGAGGGATTGAGGGCGGGGCTTGGAAACAAATGACAGGGGAAGTCCAAGAGAGGGAACTCGAACCTTGAAAGCGGCCGAGAAGCTACAGGGGAGGGAGACCTGAGTTCTAAATTAGGAACTCAAGGATTAGAGTTTTGGAGAGGCGGGAGAGTGAGGACTGAGGGAGCCGAAAAGGGCGGTGACCGGAGTATTCTAAGTAAAGTGTTTTGTAGAGAGGACTGTTGAGAGGAGAGTGTTAAAAAGAAGGAGCATTTGGAGAACCGAAGTAAGAGGGGCAATCCAGCGTGGCCTCTCCAGCCATGCTTTTTGCAACTGCCTAACATGTGTTGTTCTATAAATCCTCTTCCCCAGGTTTGCAGGAGGCCTAGGGAAGAGGGCAGAAACTAGGGATGGAAAAGTGAGATGGGCACAGCCTAGAGAGGAAGCATTAAGGCTCTTGAAAGCAGTAAGGGACATGGCCTGGGGATCCAAGAGGAGATGAGGGTGGGGGAAACATTCTGCCACTGTTTCGATCTTTTGTCTCTTTTTCCCTCAACTTCCTGTAGATGCCCGCCAGGGATGGCTGGCTGCCCTGCAGGACCGCAGCATCCTTGCCCCCCTGGCATGGGATCTGGGGCTCCTGCTTCTATTTGTTGGGCAGCACAGCCTCATGGCAGCTGAAAGAGTGAAGGCATGGACATCCCGGTACTTTGGGGTCCTTCAGAGGTCACTGTATGTGGCCTGCACTGCCCTGGCCTTGCAGGTATGAGGCCCTGGCCTTGCAGGTATGAAATCCTGGCAGTTGAGTCCCCAAGGGAGACCAAGTGTGGGAGGGGTGCCGTGGATTGGAGGGGCAAAATATGGGTTCAGGAGGAGAATTGAGGAACTAATCTCAGCTTCCATTCCTCCACAGCACATATCCTACTTTTTATCAAGAAGGGTGTACTTGTCCTTCCCTAAGCACAAGATATGCTTCTCACCTCTGCAACTTTGTTTATGTCCTGCTTGAGATCCCTTCTCTTCAGTCCTACCCTTTCTTCAAAACCACTTCCCTAGGTCTGAAGAGAAGGCCTTGTCTGTCTTTTCACTGGGTGGTTGGCACAGGCTACTACTTTGCGTAGCTATCAGGTCACCCCATCTATTCTATAAGTTCTCAGGGTAGAGACAGGCCATCCTTACATCTTTGGGACCTCACCCAGCACGCACCCTCCACATGGTGAATATTTGGTGGTGATGCTTAGGAGAGAGGTGGGGGAGAGTTGCAGGCTAGCCTGTGGTGGGGGCAGATCTGGGTCTGGGTCTCCCAAGGTCGGGCAGACTAGGCCACTGGGATACCCAGCCCCTTATCCTTCCACAGCTGGTGATGCGGTACTGGGAGCCCATACCCAAAGGCCCTGTGTTGTGGGAGGCTCGGGCTGAGCCATGGGCCACCTGGGTGCCGCTCCTCTGCTTTGTGCTCCATGTCATCTCCTGGCTCCTCATCTTTAGCATCCTTCTCGTCTTTGACTATGCTGAGCTCATGGGCCTCAAACAGGTGAGGCTCCGAGATCCCTACCTATGACCTCTGACCCGTTTTAGAACTCCTCGTTCCCTTTCAAGGGTTTCCCTCCTCCCATGCTCTTCTACTGTCTCCCTGCTTCTCCCTCGTGGCCCTTCCCTTTGACTTTCCCTCGTAAGGGCAGCAAGCATGGGCCTCCTGGGCCTGGGGAAGGTACATGGATCAGAAGTCAGGATCAGGGATCCAAGTCTCAGAAGGGGGGTTCCTGGGCCTGAGTTCTAGAAGGGTGGTGCCTGGAAGAGGAGGAAAGAAGTGCCCAAGATGAGAAAAGGGCTTGACTCCATTTCTAAGCTCTTCTCCCTCTCTTAGGTATACTACCATGTGCTGGGGCTGGGCGAGCCTCTGGCCCTGAAGTCTCCCCGGGCTCTCAGACTCTTCTCCCACCTGCGCCACCCAGTGTGTGTGGAGCTGCTGACAGTGCTGTGGGTGGTGCCTACCCTGGGCACGGACCGTCTCCTCCTTGCTTTCCTCCTTACCCTCTACCTGGGCCTGGCTCACGGGCTTGATCAGCAAGACCTCCGCTACCTCCGGGCCCAGCTACAAAGAAAACTCCACCTGCTCTCTCGGCCCCAGGATGGGGAGGCAGAGTGAGGAGCTCACTCTGGTTACAAGCCCTGTTCTTCCTCTCCCACTGAATTCTAAATCCTTAACATCCAGGCCCTGGCTGCTTCATGCCAGAGGCCCAAATCCATGGACTGAAGGAGATGCCCCTTCTACTACTTGAGACTTTATTCTCTGGGTCCAGCTCCATACCCTAAATTCTGAGTTTCAGCCACTGAACTCCAAGGTCCACTTCTCACCAGCAAGGAAGAGTGGGGTATGGAAGTCATCTGTCCCTTCACTGTTTAGAGCATGACACTCTCCCCCTCAACAGCCTCCTGAGAAGGAAAGGATCTGCCCTGACCACTCCCCTGGCACTGTTACTTGCCTCTGCGCCTCAGGGGTCCCCTTCTGCACCGCTGGCTTCCACTCCAAGAAGGTGGACCAGGGTCTGCAAGTTCAACGGTCATAGCTGTCCCTCCAGGCCCCAACCTTGCCTCACCACTCCCGGCCCTAGTCTCTGCACCTCCTTAGGCCCTGCCTCTGGGCTCAGACCCCAACCTAGTCAAGGGGATTCTCCTGCTCTTAACTCGATGACTTGGGGCTCCCTGCTCTCCCGAGGAAGATGCTCTGCAGGAAAATAAAAGTCAGCCTTTTTCTACATATGGCATGCAGTCTGTCAGTGTCTCCCAAGCTACAGGGCTGAGTTTGGGAAAGAAAGCCAGAGGGAGCCTGGGAGCACCGAACTGGAGTCTGGGCAGCCACCACGCCCTCTGGCAACCGCTGGGGTTCGGCCACCCCCGCAGACCCGCCCCCACTTTGCCAGAGCGGCCGGGTCCCCATTCCCATTCCTTCAAATCCCCTTTTTCCCGGCAGCCGACCTGTAGACCCAAGGGAGACAGGTTGAAGCTAGAAAGAGTCGGGGCAGCAGCTCTGGTAGGGGAGGGAGCATCCAAAACCTCTGGCTTCTGAGCGCCTCTCCTGCCGCCCATCCACAAAGCCCCCCACAGCCTGGCGGCTGCCCTCGACCCCGCAAAACAAAGGACTTCAGAGGCTGGACCTACAGACCCAGATGAGAAGGCAAAAGCGTAGGGAGGAGCGGCAGGAGATGGGAAGGGCGGGCCCCGCTCGGAGCAGCTGCCGCTTCCTCCCAAAGTCCCACGAGGGGCCTGAGTCACGGGCCACCGCCCTGGGTCGGCGAGCTGGGGGAAGGGATCTGGACACCTGGCGTGTCCGGGCGGGAAGCTGGTGAGGGCCCCTGGGGACAGAGCGGAGGACCAGTGGTTGGGGCGAGAAGAGGGCAGTCCCGCAGCGAGTCCCACGCGGGGTGGGAGGGATCTAGGCCCCGCCCTCTCCTCGGCTCCGCCCTGCGCCCCCTTCCCTCTCCTCATTGTCCTTAGACAAAGCGGTCGCCGCCCCCGCCCGGCCCCCTGGTCTCTGTCTCCGTCCCTCCTCCTTTGCTGCCTCTTTCCCTCCTCCTCTCCCTCCCTCCTCCCCTCCCTCCAGTCTCCGGATCTCCCTCGGTCCCTCTCTCCTCCTCTTCCTCTCTCTGGACGCCCGGCTCCTCCGCACCCCCTCCCCCGGGGGTCCCGCGGCCTGTGAGTTGACTGAGGGGCTCAGACTTGGGGAGTGGGTGTCTCCTCGCCCCTGTCCTTGCTCCCGTCCCTGGCCCGGACCTTGGCTGTCTCCTCTTTGTGCCGAGATTGTCAGTCTGTGCGGCTACAGCGGGGTGGAGACGGCCGGCTCTGTCACGGCTTCATGAGAGCGGGGACGGGGCGCAGGACTTGCAGGCGCCGGGGAGAAGAGACATGGAGCCGGCCCTTGGCACTCTGGGGTCGCGTGGGGCAGTCGGTGGGGGAGGCAGGCGGTGGTGACAGGACAGGGTGGGGGTGGACGCCAGGGTTCTGGGAACGCGCTGGCAGCCCTGACGCCCGGGTTCCGAAAGTCTCGGGGGTGGGTATTTCCCCCGACCCGCCTCGGGGGCGGAGTGCGGGGCAGAGGGGTGGGGGCTGGGGAGAGGCGTGGCCCGAGCGGTGCTGGAAGCGGAGCCGGGACCTTTGGGGCCCGCGCTGAGACGCGCCCGGCTGCTGCCGCCGCCCTCCTTTCCCCTCTTCCCTGGTTTCCCTTCTCCTCTAGACCTGTTCGCTCTCCGCCCCTCCTTGCCTCCCCAACACCCCCTCAGGTCCCGTTGCCTCCTGGTCCTTTCAGGGATTCCTGGTCCTTCCTTCCCACACTAGCCTCCCTGGGGTATCGCTGAGGCAGCCTGGCCTGCACCCAGGTTCCCCTCACCCCTGCCACATTTCTCTCTTCTCCCTCACGCCAACTTTCCTTTTCGCCCTTCTCTCTCTTTCTCACATCCTAGAGACGGTCTTTAATACGCATTAACCCTGTGCTGCCACATCTGGCTCCTGCCCTCATTGCCTCCAATCCGGACTCTTCCTCTCACATCACCCCCACCACCCCCAACTTGGGCTCACAACTTCTCTTCACTTTTTCCATTTCCCCAGTTCTCTGCCTTCCGTCTTTCCCTCTGTCCTCATCCTTAGCCCCTCTGCCCTGCTTTGTGTCCCACCTCTCCCCCTCCACTTCCTCTCCTCCCACCCTCAGTCTCACCCCCGGGCTGTCTCACTCTCTGGAGCCTCTCCTTCCTGTTCTCTGTCCCCAGTGCTCCCTACCCTCACCTCAAGACGACCATGGCCACCATCCCAGACTGGAAGCTACAGCTGCTAGCCCGGCGCCGGCAGGAGGAGGCGTCCGTTCGAGGCCGAGAGAAAGCAGAACGGGAGCGCCTGTCCCAGATGCCAGCCTGGAAACGAGGGCTCCTGGAGCGCCGCCGGGCCAAGCTTGGGCTGTCCCCTGGGGAGCCTAGCCCTGTGCTAGGGACTGTAGAGGCTGGACCTCCAGACCCGGATGAGTCTGCGGTCCTTCTGGAGGCCATCGGGCCAGTGCACCAGAACCGATTCATCCGGCAGGAGCGGCAGCAGCAGCAGCAGCAACAACAACGGAGTGAAGAGCTGCTAGCAGAGAGAAAGCCTGGGCCTCTGGAGGCCCGGGAGCGGAGACCCAGCCCTGGGGAGATGCGGGATCAGAGCCCCAAGGGAAGAGAGTCAAGAGAAGAGAGACTAAGTCCGAGGGAGACCAGAGAGAGGAGGCTGGGGATAGGGGGAGCCCAAGAGTTGAGCCTGAGGCCTCTGGAGGCTCGGGACTGGAGGCAAAGCCCAGGAGAGGTGGGAGACAGGAGCTCCCGACTGTCAGAGGCATGGAAATGGAGGCTGAGTCCTGGAGAAACTCCAGAGCGGAGTCTGAGACTAGCAGAGTCTCGAGAGCAAAGCCCCAGGAGAAAAGAGGTGGAAAGTAGACTGAGCCCAGGGGAATCTGCCTACCAGAAGTTGGGCCTGACAGAGGCCCATAAATGGAGACCTGACTCCAGAGAGTCTCAGGAACAGAGTTTGGTACAACTGGAGGCAACAGAGTGGAGGCTGAGGTCAGGAGAAGAAAGACAAGACTACTCGGAAGAATGTGGGAGAAAAGAAGAGTGGCCAGTTCCAGGGGTAGCTCCAAAAGAGACTGCAGAGCTGTCCGAGACCCTGACAAGGGAGGCCCAAGGCAACAGTTCCGCAGGAGTGGAGGCAGCAGAGCAGAGGCCTGTGGAAGATGGCGAGAGGGGCATGAAGCCAACAGAAGGGTGGAAATGGACCCTGAACTCCGGGAAGGCTCGAGAATGGACACCCAGGGACATAGAGGCTCAAACTCAGAAACCAGAACCTCCAGAGTCAGCAGAGAAGCTTCTGGAATCTCCCGGTGTGGAGGCTGGAGAAGGGGAGGCTGAGAAGGAGGAGGCGGGGGCTCAGGGCAGGCCTCTGAGAGCCCTGCAGAACTGCTGCTCTGTGCCCTCCCCCCTCCCACCAGAGGACGCTGGGACTGGAGGCCTGAGACAGCAGGAAGAGGAAGCAGTGGAGCTCCAGCCCCCACCACCAGCCCCTCTGTCTCCCCCACCCCCAGCCCCAACTGCCCCCCAACCTCCTGGGGATCCCCTCATGAGCCGCCTGTTCTATGGGGTGAAGGCAGGGCCAGGGGTGGGGGCCCCCCGCCGCAGTGGACACACCTTCACCGTCAACCCCCGGCGGTCTGTGCCCCCTGCGACCCCAGCCACCCCAACCTCTCCAGCCACAGTTGATGCTGCAGTCCCGGGGGCTGGGAAGAAGCGGTACCCAACTGCCGAGGAGATCTTGGTTCTGGGGGGCTACCTCCGTCTCAGCCGCAGCTGCCTTGCCAAGGGGTCCCCCGAAAGACACCACAAACAGGTAGGGAAGCAGCCAAGCCAGACTTCTTAGAAGTCCACTTGTCAATTTTCTCTGGACTCTGGTCTCTTTCTTTTTTATACCCCTGTTTTCTTGTCTTCCTCTATTCTTTCTTGTTAATTCCTGCCACCACCCTTCCTCGCTCTGCACATACACCCTTCCTTCTCAGAGCCCTCCTTTTCCATTTTGAGCCCAAAAGATCCTGCCCCAGCAAAGGCTGTCTCTGGGTGTGTCTCTTTCAGGGTGTGCCAGGCTGCTCATTCTCCCTTCCCTTGGGCTCTGAGTTTCCAACCCCCTTTTCTTTCCTTCCTTTCCTGAGTGTGACCTGCCCCAGCCCATCCAGTGGGAGAGCCTAAAGTGACGAGCTTGAATCAGTGAGGGCAGGGTCACCAGGGTGAGAGCACTTGCAGTTTTTCTGGGGAGAAGGGATAGGGAGCCTGGGGTGGTGGAGGGGGTGGGGTGGGTTTGTGTTCTAGGGAGAAACTGCAGGGAGAAGTGAATGGAGAAAGGTCCAACTGCCCCGTGGGAAGGAGGGCAGAGCTGAATAGGGACATCCTAGGATGGAGGGGAGAGGGGAGATGGAACCGGGCCGGCCAAAGAGCAGAGAGAAGGCTTTTGAACCCCGAGTCTGCCCCATGGGAGAGACACAGAGAGGCCATTTGAAGTGGGTGACCTCGGGGTTGCACACCCCCAGCTGGGCCACTGCTTCAGACAGTGCTCCCTTCTCTCTTGGGACAAGAAAAGCCTTCTCCTCTTCCAAAATACCCCCGCCCCTCACTCCCCTGTCCTTCCTCCCTGGGTTTCCCCTCCCTCCCAAGAACTGGCTCAGGGATCGGTTTTCCCCTCTTTTCCTGCCATCCTGGACTTTCCCTCCCCTTAGGGTAGCAAAAGAGAGAAGTGAATTTGGAGACAGTTTTGAGAACAGGCACTGGCCAGGGAGCACAGTGGGAGTTCTGGACAGGGGTTGGGGCTGAGGCCAGCAGAGGGTCAGAGGTTAGACTTGCAACAAAGACCTGCAGGAAAGTGGGGGCAGCCAGGATGACTCCCCCTGGCCCTGGCCTCACTTCTTCCCTGTGCACATCCATCTGTTTCCAGCTTGAAAATCTCTAGGGAGACAGAGGTCCCACACTCAGACATCTCAGACTTAGGAAGTCCCTCCAGTCACACACATCTCCCCAGAGCCTGGGAAGCCCAGTCTCATTCTCATCCCATGTGTTAACATCCTCAGATTTGATTTTTTTGTGTCCTCAGTGTCAGTGGGGAACCACAGGGACTAAAGATACGGGTTAAGCCTTGGGTGGAGGGGGGTTCATTTGATCCCCCAATTCATCTTCACATGAAGCGTAAGCTCCCACCTCTAAGCCATGGTTCTTGGGAACCTACCCTCAGCCCTCTGACTGCTACCAGCCTGTTCCCCTCAGGGCTGGGCAGATGAAAAAAACAGAAGTCCGGAAATGCTACCCGGGTGAGGTGTTCAGAAAAGTCACTTCCTACTGAGAGAGGCTTGTGCCTCTGGGGAAGAATGAGCAGAGGGAAGCATGAAGCTTTGGGGCCCAAAGCCCAGGGAGCATCCCAGGGGAGCCAGGAAGCAAGTGCAGGGCAGGACCTGTGCTGGTGACCATACCTAGGCCAGAGAGCAGGGGAGCCGGAAGCAGATCGCCCAAACAGGAAGCCTGGGGTGGGGGCCGGAAGGCTGGTGGGGCTGAGTGGGGAACCCTGGGCCCTGGGCCCTGGGCCTGCCAGATCTGTGCTCAGGATGTGGTGAGAGAATAAGGAAGCAGCCGCTGCTTGGGTGGGGGTGGGGAGGAGGCAGCACAGAGTTCCTCTGACCCAGACGCCTCACCCTCCACCCTCTACCCCCTGTCAGCAACCTGTTCTTCAGGGACTGGGTGCCTTGTCCCAGCTCTGCTGCAACACACTGGCTCAGGAATAGGAGATAGGAGGACCCTGCCACCAACCCCCGCTTCACCTTCCCTAAATAACTCGTTTGCAGGCTAATTCCATCAAATTTATCCCTGCCATCAGGAGAGAAATCCCAGCCCTGCCACTGGAGCCCAGGGGATGGCTGTGGCTGGTGCCCTACCCCAGAGGCCTCTTGGTTGGGCTGAGAGACCAGCCCCATTGTGACCTTATATAGCTGATGGGAGAGGAGCGAGTGAGTCACCCCCTCTCTACCCCCCCACTCCCATGCAGGCTGTGCATTTCTGAGAAGCCCAGTCAGAAGTTGGTGGGGGGTGAGGAGACAGGCAGGGTAGGGGGGGAGATATAAACATAGACCGAGAGCAAATAAAATAAGTCATTTTCAGAGTAGAAAATAAAGTACAGAGGTTATTATTCCAAAAGAGGATATGAGAAGAAAACAAAAATGGGTTCCCAGAAATGTGGGTAAATCTGTCAGTTACAGAAACCTAAGCGGTCCCTTCTGAGAACTTGGGATATAAGCAGTCTGGCTGCTGTCACTAGATTCTACCAGCAGTTCCACAGACATGAACTGGGGGTCAAATGTGTACAGGCTGGACCACCCGCAGATCGTTTCCCCAGCATTGGTCCTCTGATGGCACCTCATGTGAGGTCTGAACAAACCCTAACCTCTTGCATTGTACCAACTTCTAAGCTCCTTTCTTTTTTCTTTTCTTTTCTTTTTTTTTTCTGAGACAGTCTCGCTGTCTCCCAGCCTGGAGTTCAATGGTGAGATTTCGGCTCACTGCAACCTCCACCTCCCGGGTTCAAGTGATTCTCCAGCCTCAGCCTCCTGAGTAGCTGGAATTACAGGCGCACGCCACCATACCCGGCTAATTTTAGTATTTTTAGTAGAGACGGGGTTTCACCATGTTAGCCAGGCTGGTCTCGAACTCCTGACCTCAAGTGATCCACCTGTCTTGGCCTCCCAAAGTGCTGGGATTACAGGGGTGAGCCACCTTACCCGGCCCCAAGCTCCTTTCAACAGCAGACATGAGTATAATATATTAGTAAATTATCTAGTAAGTTAGAAGGTGGTAAGTGATTATGGAAAAAAAAATAGAACAGTGGAACTTAGAGGGTCAGGAGGTAGGGGGAGTGAATATGGAGACTTCAAAATAGGGTGATCAGGAGGGTCAGAGCCATGGGGATATTTTGGGGGAGTGTTCCAGGCAGAAGGAATAGCTAGTACTGTTCTGGTCCTG
Source organism: Homo sapiens (assembly GCF_000001405.40). Classification (NCBI taxonomy): domain Eukaryota; kingdom Metazoa; phylum Chordata; class Mammalia; order Primates; family Hominidae; genus Homo; species Homo sapiens. Next base: position 2,010,753 of record NT_167244.2, on the reverse strand, counting down.
AGGTAGGAGTGCGTGGAGGGAACCAAGGCCAGTGTGGCTGGAGTGGAGGAAGAGGCCAGAGAGGCAAGGGGAGGGTGGCATACTGGGAGCACCCTGTAGGCTTTGGTCAGGCTCTGGGCACCTTGGGGGCAATCAAGTAGACTTTTTTTTTTTTTTTTTTTTGAGACAGAGTCTTGCTCTGTTGCCCAAGCCGTAGAGCAGTGGCGCGACCTCGGCTCACTGCAACCTCCGCCTCCCGGGTTCAAGCAATTCTCCTGCCTCGTCCTCTCGAGTAGCTGGGACTACAGGTGCACGCCACCATGCCCAGCTAATTTTTTTGTATTTTTAGTAGAGACAGGTTTCACCATGTTGGCCAGGATGGTCTCAATCTCTTGACCTTGTGATCCGCCCGCCTCGGCCTCCCAAAGTTCTGGGATTATAGGCATGAACCACCGCGCCCAGCCTGGAGTAGACTTTTTGCTCCAAGTGAGATGGGGAGACACTGCAGGGTTCAGAGCCAACAAGGAGTAACATATACAGTTCCTGAGTTCTACCTTCCCATGGGGACCCAGGTGTCATATCTGGTTTTCTTTTTTTTTCTTTTTTAGAGACAGTGTCACTCTATTGCCCAGGCTGGTCTCGAACTCCTGGGCTCAAGAAATCCTCCCGCCTCAACCTCCCAAAGTGCTGGGGCTACAGGTGTGAGCCACCATGCCTGACTGGTGTCATATTGATGCAGCTCTTAACAACCACCTGCCCAGCCACCCTTCTGGCTTCTCTCTTTTCATACCTCAGTTCATTAGGGGACTCAGGGATGTACGGCTGACCCCAAGTCTTCCCAAACAGATGCCAGGGAAGGCCTGAGTAGATCATTTGGACCTTTCCAAGTAGTTCATATGGAATCCTCCTGCTGTCTCCCTAATCCCTTTGGCTCCTAGACTTAATCCCACCCTGCCCCTTCCCCCTGAGCTTCTTAATAGGGCAAAGGGGAAGGGTAGAAAGGCAGTGAGAACAGCTGGGACTCGCCTGCTCTTGGGACAGTGTGATTACCAAGGGTTTTCTGTGCCCTGTCTGGTATTTTGTCTCTGTGCCTGTCCCTTTGGGCACACTGTGGACCCCCACCCCAGGTTTGTGTGGACTTTCCTTTCTGCCCTTGTCATCTCCCCCAGCCTTCAGGGTGTCAGCGGCTCATCTTTCCCCTGTGTGTTGCTGGAGTCTCTTGGTTCCTCTCGGCCTTTCTGTTCATCTCCCATCTCTTCCTAGGCCCTAGACTCCCTTTGCTATGGATAGGAGAGGAATGAGGAGAGTAGGAGGGAACAGGTGCCCAGGGTCCTGGGTTTTGCATAGGACAGCAAGGGGCTGTGGGTATGAAAACCTTGCTTTTGTCTGAGACTCGCTCCCCAGCCAGTTCTTTCCCCACTGGCCAGTCTGCTGGGCTCCTCTGGGAAGTTCACTCGATTGCCCCCAAGGTGCCCAAAGACTCGGTTCTGATCACAAGACTTATCGCCATGTATTTTAATTTCTTTTTACCCCTCTGCCTCCCACACTCGAAATAGCAGGGACCTTGGTCTTATATTATTCACTTCTGCCTCCCAAGCCCCTGCCAACGTACAGGGCAAAGTCTGATGTTTTGAAATGATATGATCGAAGAGGGAAACTCTAGAATTGGAGAGCCAGTATGGAAAGGAAAACTGGATCCCAGAGTGGATGGGGAGAGTGAGTGGGGCACCTGAGTCCAGCCCCCACCCCCACGTTCCGCCAGTCCCACCTGCTCCCTTGCAGACTCCGCCCCCCCCGCCCCCGCTTTCTCTCCCTCAACCCCCGCGGGCTTCTCCCCTGCTGACCTTGCCTCCTGCCCCCTTTTTCTCCCTCCTTCAGCTTAAGATCTCCTTCAGCGAGACAGCCCTGGAGACCACGTACCAATACCCCTCCGAGAGTTCGGTACTGGAGGAGCTGGGCCCGGAGCCTGAGGTCCCCAGTGCCCCCAACCCTCCAGCAGCCCAACCCGACGACGAAGAGGATGAGGAAGAGCTGCTGCTCCTGCAGCCAGAGCTCCAGGGCGGGCTGCGCACCAAGGCCCTGATTGTGGGTAAGCGGAGGCTCCGCCGGCCCGAGGGCGCCCCCTGCTGTCAGAGCGGGCGCTGTGGTCCAGGAGAGAGGAGGGAGGATTACATGTAGGCACTCGGAAGGGGCTTGGCGGGTCCTCTGGTTCAACATGCTCCTTTAACAGATGGGCAAACTGAGGTCCCCGGCAGTGAAGTACACATTGAGTCTTCAGGTTTCAAAACGAGAACTCTTCCTGAGTGCTGTAATCTGGTCAAAATCACAGGGTGGGTCGACAGGCCTGAGTTGGAATTCCAGCTTGTCTCTTTAATTGTGTGATCTCAGGGAAACCATCTGATCTCTTGCTTTAGTTTATTATTTATGAAATGAAGTTAATAATAACTACCTCCTGTGGCTCATGCCTGTAATCCCAGCACTTCGGGAAGCCAAGACGGGTGGATCGCTTGAGCCCAGGAGTTCAAGACCACCCTGGGCAACATGGCAAAATCCTGTCTCTACAAAAAAATTGAAAAATTATCCAGGTGTGGGCCGGGCACGGTGGCTCACGCCTGTGATCCCAGCACTTTGGGAGGCCGAGGCGGGCGGATCACGAAGTCAGGAGATCGAGACCATCCTGGCTAACACGGTGAAACCCCATCTCTACTAAAAATACAAAAAAAAATTAGCTGGGCGTGGTGGCGGGCACCTGTAGTCCCAACTACTTGGGAGGCTGAGGCAGGAGAATGGCGTGAACCTGGGAGGCGGAGCTTGCAGTGAGCCGAGGTCGTGCCACTGCACTCCAGCCTTGACAACAGAGTGAGACTCCGTCTCAAAAAAAAAAAAAAAAATTAGCCAGGTGTGGCAGTGCGCAGCTGTGGTTCCAGGTACTTGGAAGGCTGAGGTGGGAGCATCGTTTGACCTCAGGAGTTGGAGGCTGCAGTGAACCAATATTGCACCACCCACTGCACTCCAGCCTGGGCAACAAAGGAAGACCTGTCTCAAAAGAAACAAACAGGCCAGGCACGGTGGCTCACGCCTGTAATCTCAGCACTTTGGGAGGCCGAGGCAGGTGGATCACTCAAGGTCAGAAGTTCAAGACCAGCCTGGCCAACATAGTGAAAACCCATCTCTACTAAAAATACAAAAATTAGCTAGGCATGGAGGTGGACACCTGTAATCCCTGCTACTCGGGAGTCTGAGGCAGGAGAATCACTTGAACCCGGGAAGCAGAGGTTGCAGTGAGCCGAGATGACGCCACTACACTCCAGCCTGGGTGACAGAGTGAAATTCTGTCTCAAAAAAACAGAAACCAAAAACTACCTCCTAGACTTGTAGAAAATATTAAGTAATTTTATTTATTTATTTATTTATTTATTTTGAGACAGCGTCTCCCTCTGTCGCCTGGACTGGAATGCAGTGGCACAACCTTGGCTCACTGCAACCTCTGCCTCCCAAATTCAAGCGATTCTTGTGCCTCAGCCTCTCTAGTAGCTGGGATTACAGATGTGTACCATCACACCTGGCTAGTTTTTATATTTTTAGTAGAGACAGGGTTTCCCCATGTTGGTCAGGCTGGTCTTGAACTCCTGACCTCAAGTGATCCTCCTGCCTCAGCCTCCCAAATTGCTTGGATTACAGGTGCTCCAGGCCAAGATTAAGTAATTTTTTGTGAAGCACCAAGAGCCACAGCTGGATATCATATTACTTAATCTCTCCTGGAGTTATGGTGAGATTAAACAGTTATAAGGATGCCTGGCACAGAGTCCGAGCTAAATGAGTGATGGATGTGGTTACTGGTGGTAACATGCTTTAGATATGGAAGATATTATAGGACTTCCTGCATGCCAACTGCCCTTCAATTTGTGTGGGGGGGAAGGGTGGGCAGAAGGCAGAGGCTCTCACTCATTCTCTAACATTATTGCCCCCTCTCCCACAGATGAGTCCTGCCGGCGGTGACCATCTTCCAACATAGGGATATACCTCCCTCCTTCTTATAACTGAAGATCCTGGAGCCCGGAAGATTCAGGGCAGACAGACCCTGATAATGAGCCTGGCAGGGAAGGGCAACCAACATCTTGTAACTTGCTTTCCCCACCCTGTTTCTGGGGGCAGAGCCAATTGCCCAATTTCTACCCTAATCCAAAGTCCCTGGTGTGGGTGGGGTTAAACGTGCTGGTGCATCCTAGGTCATCCAAGAGTGAGCGCCAAGTCCTGAGAAGGGGCACAGAACTCCCTGGAGGGTGGAGATGGAGCACCTGCCCCCCATGGCAGGGTACACTCTCCCCACAGCCTTCCTCCCCACCATCCCGTGGGGACTCTCGGGATTTAAGCACTCGTCTCTCTGGGAGGCCCAGACCCCACTCCATTTATAGGCACATCTCCTTCATTTCCTAGGTCACTGCCCCTTTGTTTACAGCTCCTGCCTCCTCCCTTGACCACAGCCTGGTTTACAAATTCCATCAGCTCCCAGCCCCACCTGCCAAAGTCCCAGGTTTACAAGCCACGCTTACTTGCTGTGTCTGCGTGGAATTCTCTCCTCTGTCCCCTCCAGTCTCCTCATTGGAGTGACCTGAAGGTGTGGCTTCCTCCACTTTTTCTCAGTATTACTTTGCCTTAGTTTTCCCCAAGAGGGAAGGCTGGAACTCTTAACTCTGTACCCCTTGATAGTTATTTAATTCTGTTTCTCCTAGTGGTTCACAATTGAACTGAATTGAGATGGTGTCGGGTGGCTAAGGAGACACCTCACCTCTCCTTCCCCATTGTGCCGCCTTTATCAATTGCCTGTTTTGTTTTGTTTGTTTTTTAACTTTCCATAATAAAATGGAGTTCTCTTCAACTCGTCTGCTTCTCCTTCTTTGGGAAAAAAAAAGGGTATGTGAGGGGAGGCTCTGGTGGCTGGGGGAGAGGAAAATGATGGGGGATGAACCAGGAACTCGGCACTGACATGTCAAAAGGGGTCTGGGAAGCTGCACGTGGGTTTCACGCAGGACAAGCAGGTGACATGAGAAAGGGCAGTTGAAGTGTCCACTAGACTGGAAGTGCCATGAGGGCTGACTACATCAGCTGGATTCACTGCAATATCCTGTACCTGTCAACTAGTAGACACGGAATTATTTCTAGAATGAATGACAACAAATGAATGAATAGAAGAAAAGGGTTAAAATATTACAGAGGACACTTTGAGTTGAAGGGTTCTAGTATTCAGAAGCCTGCTGCCATGAAGGCAGCTAGGTAGTGTATGACACAACCCATGTGGCTAATCCAGGGATACTTACTTAAAGAGCTGGGGCTACGAATACTAAATCTGAAATTGCTGCAAAATGAAGTAAGTATGTACAAGAGTCAGTTTCCTGGAAAAGGTTCCCCTCTGATAGACAATGGATTTTATATCGTTAAAGGCCTAAAGGCCGGGCACGGTGGCTCACGCCTGTGATCCCAGCACTTTGGGAGGCCGAGGCAGGCGGATCATAAGGTCAGGAGATTGAGACCATCCTGGCTAACACGGTGAAACCCCGTCTCTACTAAAAATACAAAAAATTAGCGGGGCATAGTGGTGGGCACCTGTAGTCCCAGCTACTCGGGAGGCTGAGGCAGGAGAATGGCATGAACCCGGGAGGTGGAGCTTGCAGTGAGCTGAGATTGCGCCATTACACTCCAGCCTGGGCAGCAGAGTGAGACTCCATCTCAAAAAAAAAAAAAAAGGTTTAAAAACCATCTTGATAGTGCATGGCTTTGGTGCCCATGTAGTTGATATTTGGAATTTTCCCATTTCAAAGAATATCTTATACAAATGTGGAACATCAATATTTTACTCATCAGGAAAATTTGTTTGTTTGTTGTTAGCTCTCCAGGCTAACAAAGATATGGTTGAATAGTTATAGTCCTTCTACCACTACAAGTTGCTCCTCTCAGACTGGTCAGAGGAGGCCCCACACCTTTACTATAAAACAAAATATATGAGACAAATTGAACTTAAGCATACGCCAAAGGTTTTCAATTTACTAGCAAGAGAACAAGCCAGGTGTCAAAAGACTCAGCCAGTTCAGAGAAGGTCTGGGTAGGGAAGGAAACAGAATGATTATATTAGTAGCCTGTTAGGTAAAGGTCTTAAAAAGTTTCCAGTTGTGACCCAGGAAAACAGAGTTAGGAAGCTCCGAGGTGCCAGGGGTGCTCACAGTCCATCTCAGAAACAGAAAACAATGCATTCAAGAGGTCAGGCCAGGTGTGGTGGCTCATGCCTGTAATCCTAACACTTTGGGATGCCAAGGCGGGTGGACTGCCTCATCTGAGGAGTTTGAGACCAGCCTGGGCAACATGATGAAACCCCGTCTCTACTAAAATACAAAAAATTAGCTGGACGTGGTGGCACGCACCTGTAGTCCCACCTACTCAGGAGGCTGAGGCAGGAGAATTGCTTGAACCCAGGAGGTGGAGGCTGCAGTGAGCCAAGATCACGCCACTGCATTCCAGCCTGGGCGACAGAGTGAGACTCCGAGACTCCCTTTCCAAAAAAAAAAAAAAAAAAGTCAGTGATGTAGATCCACTTGTGGCTATTAATAAGAACAATGTTTCATTTCCTAACAGTAGTGCCTGGTAACTGCAATTAATCACAAAAGTATGATGCAGGATCAAACAAATCAGACAGCAGAGCATCGAGTAACAAATTCAGCTTTTTGTTTTGTTTGTTTTTTTTTTTTTGAGCATAGTCTTGGTCTGTTGCCTAGGTTGGAGTGCCTGACCTCGGCTCACTGCAACCTCTGGCTCCTGGGCTCAAGAGATTCTCCTGTCTCAGGCCCAGTGCGGTGGCTCACGCCTGTAATCCCAGCACTTTGGGAGGCCGAGACGGGCGGATCATGAGGTCAGGAGTTTGAGACCAGCCTGACCAACATGGTAAAACCCCATCTGTATTAAAAATACAAAAACTAGCTGGGCGTGATGGCATGTGCTTGTCACACTTGTAATTCCAGCTACTCAGGAGGCTGAGGCAGGAGAATCACTTGAACCTGGGAGGCGGAAGTTGCAGTGAGCCGAGATCGTGCCATTGCACTCCAGTCTGGGCAACAGAGCGAGACTCTGTCTCCAAAAAAAAAAAAAAAAATTCTCCTGTCTCAGTCTCCAGAGTAGCTGGGACTACAGGTGCACACCTCCACACCTGGCTAATTTTTTGTAGAGATGGTGGGGTCTCACCCTGTTGCCCAGGCTGGTCTCAAACCCCTGGTCTCAAGATATCCTCCTGCCTCAGCCTCCCAAAGTGCTGGGATTACAGCAAGAGCCACTGCACCTGGCCTTGCTTACTTTTAAATAAGCAGCCACCAGTGATTTTCTCAAGCTGTTAAGCAAAAATGCAGAACACAGTTTGCCTGTTCCTTAGTTTGGAGATTTTGTCTTTAACAACTTTCCCCAGTTCCCCAGTTTCTTCCTGCCTAGAGGTCTTCCCTTATACCTGACCTGTCTTCACTCCTGCTGCAGGCAAACCAGTCCTAGCAACGGTCACTTTTTTGTTTGTTTGAGACAGAGACTTCCTCTGTTGCTCAGGCTGGAGTGCCGTGGTGGGATCTCGGCTCACTGCAAACTCTGCTTCCCATGTTCAAATGATTCTCCTGCCTCAGCCTCCCGAGTGGCTGGGACTACAGGCGCACACCACCACGCCAGGCTAATTTTTATATTTTTAGTAGAGACAGGGTTTCGCCATCTTGGCCAGGCTGGTCTCGAACTCCTGACCTCAGATAATCCGCCCGCCTTGGCCTCCCAAAGTGCTGGGATTACAGGCATGAGCCACCGCGCCCGGCCAACAATGCTAATATGTTTTATGAGCATGGACCCGATCTTCCAATCTGAAATAGAATTTCATTCCTCCCTTACTTTGTATAGTTTTTGGCTCTATAAAATTTCCATACTTTCTTTATTATGTATCCTGTCCCTCCCCCACCGCAAAATGTAAATTTGGTAAGGAACTTTTGATTTGTCCTCTGCTATATCCCAGGGACGGAAAGCAATGAGCACACATTAGGCATCCATTAAATTAATTTCACTTGTTGAATGAATGCGTGAGCGAAGCACTCACAGACTGACCATCAGGGGGCGTCAGAGAAACTGGACAGAGGCGAAATGAAGAAAAAAGAATTACCCCGAGTTTTCAGGTATGGTTCCGCGAGGTTTGAACTCGCTCGGCCACCGTAGTGCTTAGAGGCCGAAAAAGTACAGCCCCTTCCGGGCTCCGCGGTACGGGAAGACAGCTTTGGGATGTCGGAAGATCCTAGAGGTCCCAAGGTAGCTGACTTGCGAAGCTGAGGCTCCAGCCGAGGGCTCCAGGCCTCTGACCGGCCCAGCAGTGAGCGCGGCTGCCCGACGCTTCAGGGCCGGGAGCAGGGAGCGTGAGTCGCCATGGCGACGCCGGCGGGTCTGGAGCGCTGGGTTCAGGACGAGCTGCACTCGGTGTTGGGGCTGAGCGAGCGGCACGTCGCCCAGTTTCTGATCGGTACCGCACAGCGCTGCACCTCTGCCGAGGAGTTCGTGCAGCGCCTACGAGACACTGATACCTTGGATCTCAGTGGGCCGGCCCGGGACTTCGCCCTGAGACTCTGGAACAAGGTGTCGGCAGGGGTGGGGAGGGGCCCTGTGATTTGTCCCGGTGAGGCTGGCCTAACGGTCCATCGAGAAGTTAAGAAAGCTCAGTTCACAAGCACTTATTCTTTGTCCGTTGTCGCGTAGGTACTGTGCTAGCTGCTGGACGCCCAGCTCAGTGGAGAAGATTGAGGAGGGCTTAGGTGTGTCGGGTTAAGCGCAATAGAACGGTGTTTCTCGAACTCTTAACATGCATCCAAGGTTCTTGTTAAAATGCAGATTGCGATTCAGTAGGGATCTTAGTTTCTGCATTTCTTTCTTTCTTTTTTTTTTTTTTGAGAGACACAGTCTCGCTCGCCCCGTCGCCCAGGCTGGAGTGCGGTCGTAAGATCACGGCTCACTACAGCGTCGACCTCCCTGGTTGAAGCGACCCTCCCACCTCATCTTCCCCGGTAGCTGGGACTACGGGCGCGCGCCACCACCCCCGGCTAATATCTTTTATTTTTATTTTTATTTTTAGAGATGAGGCCTTGGTGTGTTGCGCAGGCTGGTCTCTAACTCCTCAGCTCAAGCAATCCTCTCTCAGCCCCCTCAGAGTGCTGAGATTACAGGCGTGAGCCACCATGCCCGGCCCCCCTCATCTTCTGAACTTCCTTTCAGTCGTTTAATTAACAGAGGGGGCCGGGTGCAGTGGCTCACACCTGTAATCCCAGCACCCCGGGAGGCTGAGGCAGGAGGATTACTTGAGCCCAGGAGTTCGAGACCAGCCTGGGCAACATGGCGAAACCTTCGTCCTACAAAAAAATTAAAAATTAGTTGAGCGTGGTAGTGTGCACCTGTGTTTCTAGCTACTTAGGAGCCTGAGGTGGGAGGATCCCTTGAGCCCAAGAGGGACAGAGTGAAACCCTGTCTGTAAAAAAAAATAAAAAACCCCATTCAGGATGATGAAGATGGGGTGAAGCCATGAGGAAGAAAGAGAATGAATGCTGGTTAGCTGGTTTAAAACTAAGTAATTGTGCCCGGGTGCGGTGGCTCATGCCTGTAATCCCAGCACTTTGGGAGGCTGAGGTGAGTGGATCATGAGGTCAGGAGTTTGAGACCAGCCTGGCCAACATGGTGAAACCTCATCTCTACTAAAAATACAAAAATAGTCGGGCGTGGTGGCATGTGCCTGTAATCTCAGCTACTTGGGAGGCTGAGGCAGGAGAATTGCTTGAACCTGGGAGGCGGAGGTTGAAGTGAGCCGAGATCACGCCATTGCCTGACAGTGGGGCCGGGCCGCGGGGGCAGGAAAGACTAAGTAATTGCTTAAATTAGGAACAGAGCTAAGTGGGAGGGCAGAGATCAGGAGTTGCTCAGACCTCCTTATCTTCCCCTCTACTGACAGGTACCACGAAAGGCAGTGGTAGAAAAGCCAGCTCGGGCAGCAGAGCGAGAGGCCCGGGCCCTGCTGGAGAAGAACCGATCTTATAGGTTACTGGAAGACAGTGAAGAGAGCAGTGAGGAGACTGTGAGTAGGGCTGGAAGCAGCCTCCAGAAGAAACGTAAAAAGCGGAAACACCTCAGGAAGAAGCGTGAGGAAGAAGAGGAGGAAGAGGCTTCTGAGAAAGGGAAGAAGAAAACAGGGTAAGTCAGAAGCAGGGTGAGAGAGGATGGGGCAGGCTGAAGTGTTCTCTATGCCCTTATTTAATCCCCTGGATGGGCTGCAGGGGGAGTAAACAGCAGACAGAGAAGCCAGAGTCGGAAGATGAGTGGGAACGGACAGAGCGTGAACGCCTTCAGGACCTGGAGGAGCGTGATGCCTTTGCTGAGCGGGTTCGACAGCGGGACAAGGATCGGACTCGAAATGTCCTGGAACGGTCAGACAAGAAGGTGAATAGGAGCAGCATGTTCTGTAAATCCCCAAGATCCCAGGGTGAAATCTGAGGTTGGCTGTGAGTGCAGAGATAGTGATCTCTGGGAAGACAAGGGGCTGTCTCTAGTGAGATGTTCACCTCTGTGGTGAGAGAAGCCCTGTGCATCCTGTGGCTAAGACAACTGTCTGCTGTACCTGCAATCAGAGAGATTCCTCACTGAGAGGGGACATTTTTTGTGTTAGGGCGCATCTGAATGATCCTTGTGATTCTAGAGGGGAGCAGCTGTCAGTGTGGGGGCTCTTTGGCCTCACACCCCTCCATTCTTGTTTTTTCTTCTAGGCTTATGAAGAGGCTCAGAAGCGCCTCAAGATGGCCGAGGAAGACCGGAAGGCCATGGTGAGTCCCAGGGCCTAGGGAGCCAAGATCAGAAGACAAAAGGAAAGACTTTCTGATAGAGTGTATAGGGAGAGAGGATACAGAGGAAGCACAGTGTGGATGCTGATGGGGTGGTCAGGTTTCTAGAAGAGGGGCTTGGTTGTTAGGAGCCAGCTGAGGATAGACTTATGTTGTTGAGGGAAGGATCCTTCTTAAGTTGTAGGGGGAAGGAGGCTACCCATAAGTCCTCCTTGACTCTTAACTTTAGGATCAAATATACTCTATTAGTGAATGAAATTGTGAGCTTTCCCTATTCCTGAGTCCTAATGAGATATGAGGCAGCTGGAATGTTGTCAAGAAGGTTGCTGGAGGGCAAGGGCAGGGCAGCAGTCCCACTGTACAGGGATGTGCTGACCATTCAGCTTAGGCACACCATCTCCAAATACCTTCCCACCACCTAATTCCTGCACCCCTTATGTGGCTTTGTGATCTCCCTGTGTCTTCTCACTGGACAGGGACAGAGCCCTTGTAATTCATAAACTGGACTTTTTATGGTGTGAAACTAGGTAGGGTAAGCTGTTTTCCAAAGGCCTGGTCTTGTCAAGTAAAGTCACACTTAGATTCCCCAATACCCCAATAGAATTTTGAGACTCTTGAAGTTCCTTTTTTTTTTTTTTTTTTTTTTTAAACCTTTTTTCTTTTTTTTGAAACGGGGTCTTGCCCTGTCACCGAGGCTGGAGTGCAATGATGCGATCTCGGCTCACTGCAACCTCCGCCTCCTGAGTAGCTGGGATTACAGGCGCACACCACCACGCCTGGCTAATTTTTTGTACCTTTAGTAGAGACGGGGTTTCACCATGTTGGCCAGGGTGGTCTCGAACCCCTGACCTTGTGATCCACCTGCTTTGGCCTCCCAGAGAGCTGGAATTACAGGCGTGAGCCACCATGCCCAGCCTTCTTTTTATTTGTTTTGTTTTATTTTTTATTTTTATTTATTTATTTTTGAGATGGAGTCTCACTCTGTTGCCAGGCTGGAGTGTGGTGGTGCGATCTCAGCTCACTACAACCTGTGCCTCCCTGGTGGAGGAATCAAGCGATTCTCCTGCCTCAGCCTCCTGAGTAGCTGGGACTACAGGCCTGCAGTACCACACTCGGCTAATTTTTTGTATTTTTAGTAGAGGAGATTTCATCATGTTGGCCAGGATGGTCTTGATCTCTTGACCTTGTGATCTGCCCGCCTTGGCCTCCCAAAGTGTTGGGATTATAGGCATGAGCCACTACGCCTGGCCGTTTTTACTTTTTAAAATTCATTTATTTATTTTTTTGAAACAGAGTTTTGCACTTGTTGCTCAGGCTGAAGTGCAGTGGCGTGATCTTGGCTCACTGCAACTTCCACCTCCCGAGTTCAAGCGATTCTCCTGCCTCAGCCTCCAGAGTAGCTGGGATTACAGGCATGAGCCACCTCGCCTGGCTAATTTTGTATTTTTAGTAGAGATGGGGTTTCTCCATGTTGGTCAGGCTGGTCTTGAACTCCTGACCTCAGGTGATCCACCTGCCTCGGCCTCCCAAAGTGCTGGGATTATAGGCGTGAGTCACCACGTGCCCGGCCAACTTTTGGAGTTCTAAGAATGGCCTACTGGTTCCCAGGTCTCTCCTGACCAATTTATCTCATATCTCTTCCTGAAATTGACTGTGGTTAGGCTTCTGGGACATCTCAGTGCAGTTGTGGTGGTAGTGGTGTTACTGTTTTGGCCTGAATTTAATTTTTCGGGTTTTTTTTGAGACAGAATCTCATTCTGTCGCCCAGGCTGGAGTGCAGTGGCATGATCTCGGCTCACTGCAACCTCCGCCTCCCGGGTTCAAGTGATTCTCCTGCCTCAACCTCCCGAGCAGCTGGGACTACAGACATGCACTAGCATGCCTGGCTGATTTTTGTATGTTTAGTAGAGATAGGGTTTCACCATGTTGGCCAGTCTGATCTCAAACTCCTGACCTTTGGCGATCCACCCCCCTCAGTCTCCCAAAATGTTAAGATTACAGGCGTGAGCCACTGTGCCCAGCTGTAATTTTTCTTTTTCGATTACAAAAATATTTAAGCACATAGGGAAGTTGAAAGAATAGAACAAAGAACACTCATAGACACTATTCAGATTGAAAAATGGTTAATACTATGGGTAGTATTTGCATTGTAATTGTAAATGTGGTATGTTTTTTCTTTTCAGACCATTTAAAAGAGTCTTAGACATCATGGCGTTTTATCTCTAAGTACATCAGTGTGTACCTGCTAAGGATAAAGATATTGTCCTCTAAAATCAGAATGCTCTTGTCACAGTCAGGAAGTTGAACAGTAATTCTTATGTATCGACTAAGATCTCTCTACAATAAAAGATACCCTCATTACCCTCAAAATAACTTTAATGACTGCTTTTTCCTAACAAGAATGCAGTCAAGGTTCATGCATTGCATTTGGGTCTTAGATGTTAAGTTTGTTTCTCTCTCTGTCTGTCTCACCTTGCAGTGTCCTACATTCTGGATTTGCCTGATTCTTATCTTGTGGTGTTAAGTACTTCTCTGCCCTGTGCTTTCTTTGAAGCAGGAATTGGGTCTAAAGCTTATTGACACTCAGATTAAACAGTTGTGGCAGGAACACTTCTTGGGCGGTGATGTGCACTTCATATTATGTCATATCACGGGGACATACTATCCAGTTGTGTATCTATATATTAGTATTAATATCCTTTCTACCAATAGCCTTTCATCAAATGCTTTTAGAAGCCACTGGTAATCCTTTCCTGAACATGTTATTTTTATTGGGGATTGCAAAATGGTGATTTTTTTTTTTTTTTTTTGAGACAGAGTCTCGCTCTGTCGCCCAGGCTGGAGTGCAACGGTGCGATCTCGGCTCACTGCAAGCTCTGCCTTCCGGGTTCATGCCATTCTCCTGCCTCAGCCTCCTGAGCAGCTAGAACTACAGGCGCCTGCTGCCACGCCCGGCTAATTTTTTGTATTTTTAGTAGAGATGGGGTCTCACCATGTTAGCCAGGATGGTCTCGATCTCCTGACTTCGTGATCCTCTTGCCTCAGCCTCCCAAAGTGCTGGGATTACAGGCGTGAGCCACCGCGCCCGGCCGAAATGGTGATTTTTTGATTCTGTCATTCCTGTTACGTGTATTGGCTAGAATTTGTCTATAAAGAAGAGCTTTTCCTCAACAACTAGGAACAAGCTACAGTTCCTTCTTAAAAAGGGTAAATGTTTGTTTCCTTTTAAATACGAATTTTTAGAGTAAGGCGTTTGCTGTAACAGTCATTTCACTGGTGACAGATTTTTTTCCCTTGTTTTTTGTTTGTGTGTGTCAAATTGGACTCATGAATTTTTATTTTTCAGTATTTTATAATCTCACATCATTATTCTTTTTAATGCTCAAATGGCTCTGATTTTTTGCCCATATTAAAAAAAAAATCTATCTGGCTCTTCCATGGAAGGAATATTTGACTGTGGTACCCAGATTAGGTCATGATCATAAACTGCATTTTAAGTCTTTACAGAACAAACAAGAAAAGCCAAACAACTAAATAGAACCAGGCCCCTTAAGGGTAGAACAGCAGAGGGGCTTTTTTTTTAAAGATGCAGTTTTGTTCTTGTTGCTCAGGCTGGAGTGCAATGGCGTGAGCTAAGCTCACTGCAACCTCCGTCTCCCGGGTTCAAATGATTCTCCTGCCTCAGCCTCCCGAGTAGCTGGGATTACAGGTGCCCACTACCATGCCCAGCTAATTTTTGTATTTTCAGTAGAGACGGGATTTCACCATGTTGGCCAGGCTGGTCTCTAACTCCTGACCTTAGGTGATCCACCCACCTCAGCCTTTCAAAGTGCTGGGATTACAGGTGTGAGTCACCACGCCCACCCAGCCACCAGAGGGGCTTTGACCTTGCAGTAGAGGAAGTTGTGATCACAGAGAGGATGATGTCATAGTGGGAGGACTCCTGGCAGGAAAGGGCCTTATAGATATTGCCAGTTTTCTGCTGTCATCCATAATGTGTCCTGAAAAGTTTGTATCAAAGGTAAATGTGTAGAAACTAAGTGAGACACAGCATGGTGAAGAGAGGTTAGTACCAGAAAGCCAAACATCCCTGATTACATTTGCCTTACAGAAACACTCTGATGCTGTAGTCCTAACTTTTTATAATCAGTTTTTCTCCCTTCCTCAAACTACAGTCATTCCGTTTAAGACCAAAGAACATCTAACTGGGGCTGAAGATTGCCTCCTGTTGGCCCCCTCACTGGTTTCTATCTTTGTCTGAATTGTTTTCGGTTTGAGTCCTGTGCTTCTAAATGCTGGATTAGCCTTTTATTTTCCCCCTTTCCACTAATTTGAATAAAATGGCAAGAGTAAAATATAAGCTACGCAGACATCTCCCTAGTGCATCTATATTAACAAAGATGATAATGCTGCCTAAGAGGACTTTCCAGCTGGATTCTGCTGCAGGAAGATACGATGTGGGGTCAGCATGTAGCATCCAAAGAGGCCCAGATTTGAGTATGTCATTGTTTTGGTTGTGCATTGCAGAGGGAAGGTAGAGGGTGCATCCTGAGGTTCTCATGCCTGCCTGTCAGGGGATTTTTCCCTTGTAGGGATTGGTAGAGAAAGGGGTTGCTCCTCCAGCAAGATGAGGATTCGACTGTCCTTTCCCAACTCAGGTCCCTGAGCTGCGGAAGAAATCTCGCCGAGAGTACCTGGCTAAGCGGGAGCGAGAGAAGCTTGAGGACCTGGAGGCGGAGCTGGCTGATGAGGAGTTCCTTTTTGGGGACGTGGAGCTGAGCCGGCACGAGCGGCAGGAGCTCAAATATAAGCGGCGAGTGCGGGATCTCGCCCGGGAGTACCGGGCAGCTGGGGAGCAGGAGAAGCTGGAGGCCACCAATCGCTACCACATGCCCAAGGAAACCCGAGGACAGGTGAGGTGAAGCGGCGTCTGCTTCAGCCTTGGTCCCCAAGACAAGTTGTGGGGAAGGCTTCAGGGGATTGGGCAACACGTGGGTCATCCCCTTTCTTGCCTTGCCGTTCCCAATGGGCAGTGGGCGGGGGTAGTAATGGGAAGAGGGGAGAGGGCAGAGAGGACATCCTGTTTTTGAGTCTTCACATATCCCCTCTCTCTGTAGCCAGCCCGAGCTGTGGATCTAGTGGAGGAGGAATCAGGAGCCCCTGGGGAGGAGCAGCGGCGCTGGGAGGAGGCGCGGCTTGGGGCAGCGTCCCTGAAGTTTGGGGCCCGAGATGCTGCCTCTCAGGAGCCCAAGTATCAACTGGTGCTGGAGGAGGAGGAGACCATTGAGTTTGTCCGGGCCACTCAGCTCCAGGGTGATGAGGTAAGAGGGGAGCTGGGAGACTTTCTGAGGAAGACCCGTAGCGAGCTATTTAGCTCACACCTCCTTCTCTTTCCTTAGGAGCCGTCAGCTCCACCCACTTCAACTCAGGCCCAGCAGAAAGAGTCCATCCAGGCCGTCCGCCGCAGCCTCCCGGTGTTCCCATTTCGAGAGGAGCTCCTGGCTGCTATTGCAAATCACCAAGTCCTCATCATTGAAGGCGAGACAGGCTCAGGGAAGACCACCCAGATCCCGCAGTATCTCTTTGAGGAGGTACAGTCATCTCACCCTTCAGCTTGCCAGGGCACCTGGCATCAATGTCCTCATTCCTGTCAGAGCTCCTTTTACATTATATTTTTAGTAGTCACTTACCTATCTTTTCCACTAAATTGTGAAATTCTTGAGAGTAAAGACCATACCCTTTTCACATTTCTGTTCTCACTTCCTGCATTCATTTCATTTGGAAGGACGGGTAGATGGATAGGTGGAGTGGGGCGTGTATAAATGTGGACCTCCCTATGCTCCAACGTGGCCAAAAAACAAGGAGTTAAAGGACTATTTTCCTGCCTTTTTGTTAGTTTTTTTTTTTTTTTTTTGGAGACGGAGTCTTGCTCTGTCACCCAGGCTGGAGTGCAGTGGTGCGATCTTGGCTTACTGCAACCTCTGACTCCTGGGTTCAAGGAATTCTCCTGCGTCAGCCTTCAGAGTAGCTGGAATTACAGGCATGCGCCACCACACCTGGCTAATTTTTTAGTAGAGATGGGGTTTCACCATGTTGGCCAGGCTGCTCTCGAACTCCTGACCTCAAGTGATCCAGCCACCTCAGCCTCCCAAAGTGCTGGGATTACAGGTGTGAGCCACTGTGCCTAGCCCCTGCCTTATTTTGGAGACAGGCTCTTGCTCTGATGCCCAAGCTGGAGTGATGTGGCACCATCATGACTCACTGCAACCTGGGACTCCTGGGCTCAAGAGATCATCCCACCTCAGCCTCCTGAGTATCTGGGAGGTGCACACCACCATGCCCATATTAAACATTTTTTGTTTTTTTTTGAGGTGGAGTCTTGCTCTGTCACCAGGCTGGAGTGCAGTGGCGCGATCTTGACTCACTGCAACCTCCACCTCCTGGGTTCAAGTGATTCTCCTGCCTCAGCCTCCTAAGTAGCTGGGACTACAGGTGCGTACCACCACACCCAGCTAATTTTTGTATTTTTAGTAGAGATGGGGTTTCACCATGTTGGCCAGGATGGTCTCAATCTCCTGACCTCGTGATCTGCCCACCTCAGCCTCCCAAAGTGCTGGAGTTACAGGTGTTAGCCACTGTGCCTGGCCTGAAATTTTTTTTTTTTTTTTTTTGAGACAGAGTCTTGCTCTGTTGCCCAGGCTGGAGTGCGGTGGCATGATCTTGGCTTACTGCAACCTCTGTCTCCCAGGTTCAAGCGACTCTCCTGCCTCAGCCTCCCAAGTAGCTGGAAATACAGGCATGCACCACCATGCTCGGCTAATTTTTTGTATTTTTAGTAGACGGGGTTTCACCATTTTGGCCAGGCTGGTCTCGAACTCCCAACCTCAGGAGATCCGTCTGCCTCGGCCTCCCAAAGTGCTGGAATTGCAGGTGTGAGCCACTGTGCCTGGTCAAAATTTTGAATTTTTAATTTTTTTGTCACACTATGTTGCCCAGGCTGGTCTCGAACTCCTGAGCTCAAGCCATCCTCCCACCTCAGCCTCCCAAAGTACTAGGATTACAGGCATGAGCCACTGTGCCCAGCCTTCCTGCTTTTTTACCTTAGCTGGCTCTGTCTCAGCTAATCTGTTCTTTTCCAGCTCAAGTCTAGCAGAGTCATGAACTTAATTACCCAGAGCTGGGTGAGGACCCCCTTTGAGGGCCCTAGGTCTGTCATCCTATCTATTTGCCCTTCTTTTCTGGTTTTCAGCATCTGTCTTTTCCTCCTTTTCTCCTGCCTGGTTTTTACAACTTCTTTCTCTGAAATGTACCTGGTCCCAGGGTGCATATTTAGTAAAGGGCAAACTTCTTCTTTTTTCTTTGTCATTCAGGGTTATACAAACAAGGGTATGAAGATTGCCTGCACCCAACCCCGGAGAGTGGCTGCCATGAGTGTGGCCGCCCGAGTGGCCCGGGAGATGGGTGTGAAGCTTGGGAATGAGGTGAGATTTCTAGGGAACCGGGGGGTAGAGTCTGGGGTCTGTGACTCAGTCTACAGTTCCCTCAGGTCCCTACAGCAGAAGTCTTGGTGCTGCCCCACTTCACCTTTCCCCAAGTTCCTTTCAGGGCACACCAGCCCACACTTGGTTGCTAATGGTTCCCTTGACCAGGTTGGCTACAGCATCCGCTTTGAGGACTGCACATCAGAGCGAACTGTCCTCCGCTACATGACAGATGGGATGCTTCTCCGGGAGTTCCTCTCTGAGCCTGACCTGGCGAGTTACAGGTATCTCTAATCTCTGGCCTTTCTCTCCCTTCTTCCCACCCAGCCAATTCAGCCATTGTCTTCTGATTAATCCACCCGTTCTTGAATCTTTGTGGTTCAAATGGTCCTTGAACTGACCTCCAGGTACCACGGAGATGGGGCTGGAGGACAGAAGAGATTGTAGAGAAAGCCTCTTCTTTCCCCATTCATCTCCAGGGTTTAGAAAACAACCAGGATAGCAGAGCATTGCTGCCGAGACTTGAAATACCGTGTGAAGACCATTTGAAAACACTTGGAATGCTCAGCTCAGAGGGAGAAACAGGAAGCATCCTGGTTCCCTCTAAATATGTGAAGGCTGTTACATGGAAAGAAGGATCAGATTGTTTTATGTGACCCTACACGACATAGCTAGGAGCCATGGGGAGGTTACAGGGAGACAGATTCCAACTCAATACCAATGGCTGAGTAACCCTCAGAGTGGTGGAGATTGCAGGGCCTGTCAGAGTGGTTGGACTCTGGGTCTTGGCCCTCCACACAAGTCTTGGGTAGCTTGGTCTGTGAATAATGAGCTCTTAGTGCTGGAAATGGCCAAGCAGGGGTTGGTTGAACATGTGTTGAGGGGGAAAAGGGATTCATGAATGTAATGGGGGTGGGGTCAGGCCAGCTGAACAATATGTGCCTTTTTGACTCTTCAGAGGCTGTGAATTTCTGGTCTTGGAAGATCACAGTGGAGCAATTGGACAGATAGGATTTTATCCTTCATATCCCTTGCAAAAGATCTCTAAGAACCCATGGAGAGCCAGCCAGCGCAAGAGTGTCTGATGCAGATGTTTTTGCCCATCGAGCCAGCCTGCTTTGTGGAATGGCTGGGGACTTCACCATCACAGTTAGGGTTAGGCACAAAGAGTTGAGGTCAGGGAGGTGGGTAGGGGAAGATGGGGATGAGTTCCTGGGACTTGGCTGCCACCCAGAAAAGCCAAAGAACAAAGAGAAAGAAGGTGTCATGCACATAACTGAGTTAGGAGGAAACCAAGGAGCATGCAGAGTCCTGTGAGAGTTGAGGTAGAAAGGCTTAACTTGCTCCTGTCTCCAAAAGAAGAAACAGTCAAGAATGATGCCAGCAGCAGTTGTCCCACAGGACACCAGGAGCTTCTAGGCTATTTGAATCACAGCAGCTCAGGTCTATTACCCCCAGTCAGCCTTGCTGGCCCACCCTTATTGAAAGGGACCCTGCCTTCCACTTTTTTTTTCCTTTAAAACGTATCAGCCGGGAGCGGTGGCTCACGCCTGTAATCCCAGCACTTTGGGAGGCAGAGGCAGGCGGATCACGAGGTAAGGAGATCAAGACCATCCTGGCTAACACGGTGAAACCCCGTCTCTACTAAAAAATATAAAAAATTAGCTGGGCGTGGTGGCGGGCACCTGTAGTCCCAGCTACTCAGGAGGCTGAGGCAGGAGAATGGCGTGAACGCAACCCAGGAGGCGGAGCTTGCGGTGAGCCGAGATCGTGCCACTGTACTCCAGCCTGGGCGACAGAGTGAGACTCTGTTTCAAAACTCCGTCTCTACTAAAAATACAAAAAATTAGCCAGGCACAGTGGCAGGCACCTGTAGTCCCAGCTACTTGGGAGGCTGAGGCAGGAGAATGGTGTGAACCCAGGAGGCGGAGCTTGCAGTGAGCTGAGATCATGCCACTACACTCCAGCCTGCAACAGAGCAAGACTGTCTCAAAAAAAAAATCCTTCCACTTTTTCTTTTTTCTTTTTTTAGATGGAGTCTCGCTCTGTCACCCAGGCTGGAGTGCAGTGGCACGATCTTGGCTCACTGCAACCTCTGCCTCCCAGGTTCAAGCGATTCTCCTGCCTCAGCCTCCCAAGTAGCTGGGACTACAGGCGTCTACCACCACATCTGGCTAATTTTTTTTGTATTTTTAGAAGAGACGGGGTTTCACTGTATTGGCCAGACTGGTCTCGAACTCCTGACCTTGTGATCCACCTGCCTCGGCCTCCCAAGGTGCTGGGATTACAGGCGTGAGCTACCACCATGCCCAGCCTAAAACATATCCTTCAACTTTTTCTAGTAAGAGCAGCTGCTGAGTCTAAGCAGACTCTTGACTGAACTAGAGGGTATGGCTAACTTGTCCTGGCCTCAGTGTGCAGCCTCTACATCTTGTTTCCTATTATCTGCTGAGGCTGGGATAGGTTGCAGATCATGGGGCCCTGGCCTTCTCTGACTTTCTGTTGCTCTACATAAGTGGGATGGCTGACTTCTCCTTAGAGCCCCCTCCGTCAACAGTCATTCTTGAACTCTTTGTGTCCATTACTCCCCTCTCATCCAGTTAACCCTGGTGTCTGATACTGCATTGCCTAGCGCTCTTCCCTCATTGCTCTCCTATTCCCTCCCCAGCGTGGTGATGGTGGATGAGGCACACGAAAGGACCCTACACACAGACATTCTCTTTGGATTGATCAAGGATGTTGCTCGCTTCCGACCTGAGCTCAAGGTCCTGGTGGCTTCAGCCACAATGGACACTGCCCGTTTTTCCACCTTCTTTGATGACGCCCCTGTGTTTCGAATCCCCGGACGCAGGTTTCCTGTGGACATCTTCTACACCAAGGTGCCCCCTCAGGGAGGATGGGCTTAAGTCTGTGGCAGAAAAGCTGAGGCCTTTGGAGAAGGTTATCCTGTGGAGGGAAAGATGGAATGGAAGGTTCAAAGGGGAACTAGGATAAAGTGTATGTTGAATTGGGAGGAGAGGAAAGGTTTGCCTAAGCAGGTGGCCCTCCTGTGACCCCATCTCTTTCTGCTCTCCAGGCTCCAGAGGCTGACTACTTGGAAGCTTGTGTAGTATCTGTGTTGCAGATCCATGTGACCCAGCCCCCTGGGGATATCCTGGTGTTCCTGACAGGACAGGTGCCTGACATGGTGGGGAGAGGGGATGATGTATCCCAGGGGAAGACAGGGCCGGCATGTTGGCCTTCTGTGACTCTGGGACCCCTGCTGCTCTCCCTACCCTCTATCCAGGAGGAGATTGAGGCTGCCTGTGAGATGCTCCAGGATCGCTGCCGCCGCCTGGGCTCCAAAATCCGGGAGCTCCTGGTGCTGCCCATTTATGCCAATCTGCCCTCTGACATGCAGGCCCGTATCTTCCAGCCCACACCACCTGGGGCACGAAAGGTCAGTTGGAGAAACCCACACTCTTCACCCCTGTGCTTCCCACAACTAGTAGTGAAAAAGCTGTGTGCCTGCCCCATGCAAGGTGAGTCCTGCGCACTGCTGCACACAGCTGAGGAGCAGCCAGTCCCTTGTTCCTGGGACTGAAGAGAGGAGAAATATGGTGTGAACCAAGAGAGAGCCAAATATGTGATCTGGAAAGTATGCACAGTAGATTCAGTGGAGAAGGGAAGTCCTTGATGTGCTAAGAGGTGGGATTTGATATGGACCTTTAAGAGAAATGTCTGAGGTCAGGTGCGGTGGCTCACGCCTGTAATCCCAGGACTTTCGGAGGCTGAGGTGGGCGGATCACTTGAGGTCAGTAGTTCGAAACCAGGCTGCCTAACGTGGTGAAACCCTGCCTCCACTGAAAATACAAAAATCAGCAGGGCATGGTGGCGTGCGCCTATAATCCCACCTGTTTAGGAGGCTGAGTCATGAGAATCGCTTGAACCCAGGAGGAGGAGGTTGCAGTGAGCTGAGATTGTGCCACTGCACTCCAGCCTGGGTGACAATGCGAGACTCCATCTCAAAAAAGAAAAATGGCTGAGAAGTCATCAGAGGAAGGCCCAAGGTATGTTTGAGGTCAGAGTGTGAGCTAGTAGGCTTAGTGGGAGGTTCATGTGGTGAAGGAGTAGGAGACAAGGCTAAAAACAATTTGGGGCTAAGATTAGGGAGGGCCTTTGATGACAGGAAAGTTTGGACTTTATTTATTTTTCTTTTTTGAGACAGAGTCTCGCTCTGTTGCCCAGGCTGGAGTGCAGTGGCAAGATCTCGGCTCACTGCAGCCTCCACCTCCCAGGCTCAAGTGATTCTTGTGCCTCAGCTTCCCAAGTAGCTGGGATTACAGGTGTGTACCACCACCCCAAGCTAATTTTTTTTTTTTTTTTTTTGAGATGGAGTCTCACTCTGTCGCCCAGGCTGGAGTGCAGTGGCACCAACTCTGCTCACTGCAACCTCTGCCTCACAGGTTCAAGCGATTCTCCTGTCTCAGCCCCCCAGTAGCTGGGATTACAGGTGCCCTCCACCACGCCTGGCCAATTTTTTGTATTTTTAGTAGAGATGAGGTTTCGCTATTTTGGCCAGGTTGGTCTCAAACTCCTGACCTCAGGTGATCTGCCCACCTTGGCCTCCCAAAGTGCTGGGATTATAGGCGTGAGCCACCATGCCTGGCC